>NC_000010.11:8494848-8646363 GCF_000001405.40 Homo sapiens
AGGACTACAGGCTTACACCATCATGCCCAATTAATATTTTGTATTTTTTGTAGAGATGGGATCTTAGCCTGTTGCCCAGGTTGATCTCCAACTCCTGGTCTCAAGCAATCCTCCTACCTCAGCCTCCCAAAGTCTTGGTATAACAGGCATGAGCCACCTTCCCTGTCCTCAGTTCATATTCTTTAGAAAGAGAACTTGATTGACTGTACACATCTTTTTCTTCTCTTCTTTTTTTGGGGGGTGGTGGCAGGGGAGGTTGAAGTCACAGCTCAAACCATTGTTCCCCTGTATCCATGTATGGGGCTGCTCCCAGACCTTGCAACTCTCTCATTTACTTTTTTTTTTTTTGAGACGGAGTCTCGGTCTGTCACCAGGCTGGAGTACAGTGGCACGATAATCGGCTCACTGCAACCTCTGCCTCCCGGGTTCAAGCTATTCTCCTGCCTCAGCCCCTCAAGTAGCTGGGACTACAGGCGTCCGCCACCATGCCCAGCTAAGTTTTGTATTTTTAGTAGAGATGAGGTTTCACCATGTTGTCCAGGATGGTCTCTATCCCTTGACCTCGTGATCCACCTGCCTCGGCCACCCAAAGTGCTGGGATTACAGGCGCGAGCTACTGCGCCCGGCCTCTCGTTTACTCTGTATACTCTTTTCCTACAGAATTTTTTAGATCTGTTCAGGTGATTTCTGATTTCACATGTTCAGTTCTCCAAATAGTTTTCTGGACAATGTGGTATGATGCTCATTCTTAAGGAACCCAGATGATAAACTCGGGAATCACCTTTGTTTCTTGTTCCTGATGCTCTATTTCCTTATTAATGTCCCTGGCATTTCTCTCTCTCACATACCTACAAATACATATACACAGTTTATTAAGCTTGGAAAAAGAAACCAGCAGTAAGTATGTATATATTTTTTTCTTTTCTCTTTTTCTTTTTTTGAGACGGAGTCTCACTCTGTCACCCAGGCTGGAGTGCAGTGGTAGGATCTCAGCTCACTGCAACCTTCACCTCCTTGGTTCAAGCGATTCCACTACCTCAGCCTCCCTCCCGAGTAGCTGGGATTATAAGCGCACATCCCCACAACACATTTGAGTAGAGATGGCATTTCACCATGTTGGCCAGGCTTGTCTCGAACTCCTGACCTCAAGTGACTTGCCCACCTTGGCCTCCCAAAGTGCTAGGATTACAGGTGTGAGCCACCGTACCCGGCTGTATATTTTTATTTTCTGCACTTGGCAAGTGAGTGTATCAGATTCTTCATGGTTTAGTGGGAAGAGAATTTGGTTTTTGATTTCAGTTCTAAGTTTCCTGTTAACTAATTGAACAATCTTGGGGGAGTCATGTCCCCTCTCTTGACCTTGGTTTTATTATCTACAGAATGAGCCAAATAATACCATAATTGTCTGAAAGGAGGAGGTTAAGCAATGTAATCTTCTTGGGAGTCCATGGACACCAACATCATCTAATGCAGCAATTAAGAGTAGGTGAATATTTTAAATTTATAAAGACTACTAACTGATAGGTTAGCACTTGAAAATATATCATTTCCACATAATGTTACCTATTGGGTCAATTATAATTATAGTTCTAATACGTATACATATGGATAGCCATATAATATATATAGACATTTTATAAAGGCCATATTTGTGTGTGGCATGTGCTAACGTTTGGGTCATAGTATATAGTTTTTAAATTGTTGAAATACATTAAATATGACAAATGTAAAAAGAGTGATTAATGTTGAGTTTATGTCTGTTTGAAAAAGTGTGTTCTTTATCAAAATCTTGGGTAAAATATAATATGCTTTTATTTCTTGGTTGCAAAAATTAGATTATTTTAAAAATAATTTTTTAAAAACTTGGAATTCAATTCTGGAACATTAAATAAGTACCTACTATGTGCAAAGTACTTTCTAAGTGTTGAATATACGAAGTTAAATAAAATACTGTTTGAGGAGAAAGATAAGATGCAAATATCTATAAAACAAGACTAAATTAAGTAAGTGCAGAAAGGAAGGAAAAATCAGTGGGAGTTCAAAGTTTGGAGAAAACTTATTCTTTTGGAATTCTCATTAAGACAGGTGAATTATGTGGCATTTATTGATTTCTTATTCAAAATTAATTCATATTTATTGTAAGGAATGTATACTTAAAACATTGCCAAAAGTACTTTCTAAAATGATTGTGTTACTTTATAAGCCGTTTATTTCTGTATTGTTGTCAATTTCCACATGCTCTTTCAACATTAACAACCATCAATTTTTTAAATATTCAAATGATACTTTAATTGGATAGAAATAAATAGTATCTAATTATAGTTTTATTTTTAATATTTCTGTTAGTGATATCCAATACTCTTTATATAAACATTGGGCAATTAAGTTTCTTCTTTACAAATTGGCTGCCATGCTTTTTGTCCATTTTACCACTGGAATATTTGTCTGTTATTTATTTATTTTATGAATATGTTGTATCTGAAGTCACTGTTGTGAATGGAAAATTCCTTCTTGGCTGGGTGTGGTAGCTCATGCCTGGAATCCCAGCACTTTGGGAGGTCAATGTGGGAGGATTGCTTGAATCCGAGAGTTTGAGACCAGCCTGGGCAACATAGCAAGGTCCCATCTCTATTGTATTATTATTATTATTATTATTATTATTATTATTATTATTATTGGTAATTTTTAACTGGCATGTATTTTTACTAAGCTTTACACTCATCTTACTAAGCTTTTTAATTTTGTCTAATGCTTTTTGAGTTGATTTTGGGTAGTGAGATACATCTCTAAATGATAATTTTATCTTTTCAGCAATAAGCATATCTCTTATCCAATTTCCTTGTCTCAAACTTTCAGAAAAATATTAATAGTCACTTCAATAAAGATTTCTTTAATATTTCACTATCACGTATATTAAAGAATTTTTATTCTATTCATATATGAAATTAGAAATAGATATTAATTTTAACCAAATATCTTTTTGGCATCTATTCACAGTAAGACATTATTTGAACAGAGGCAGGAGATCAAATAGTATATAAAATGGTTAGCCATGTGATATGTTTTATGGATGGTTTTGTTTCTATTTTCATTTTTTATGTAATCCATAAGTATTGTGTTAAAAATGAGAATATACCGCAAGCACTCCTCCTTGCATTATTAAATATTTTTAAATGGCACTTTTATGCATTATGTGATTCCATCTTATGTATTGTAATTGATCTAAGAAATTGTCTATTAATGGAATATTCAATTTTTTTCTAATATAAACAAAGCTGCAATGAACATCCTTATACATAAAGATTTATGTACATTACTGATTCTTTCCTTAGGTCAAGTTCTTGGAATAACTAAAAAGCATCTTTCAAGACAGACTAGATACATTTGCCAGATTCCCTTCCAAAATTGCTATAAATTTACATTTCTACTAGCAGTGTAAGAAGGTTCTGCTTCATTTCACCTTTGCCAACATAGGAGGTTGTTGTTGTTTTCTTAATCATTCCTTTAACTTTTGGGGAATCTAATGGGAGAAAATAATATCTCATAATTGTTTCCTTTGGCCCCTCTTTTGTTTTTAGTGAAAGCAATTATATTATATGTTAATCATTATCATATATTATATATTACATATTATTTATTAATATTAATAATTGATTTATTAATATTAATTATTGATTATTATCAATCATCTAATATGCGGATTAACTAAATCAATTATTAAATCAGTTTTTTCCTGAGTTGCCTCAAAATACTCTTAGCTTTTTTCTTTGCTTTTATTGTTGATAAGTTCTTCCCCCCACAATAAAACCCTAAAGAAACTATTCTCTTCTCATCATTTTGTTTTTGTTTTCTACGTTTAAGTCCTTCACTGAAGGGTTAGAATTTTGATTGGTATATTTACCTATCAAATACCCCCATCAAATGATGTATTAAAGAGGGTATCCTGCAGAAGAAAGAGCTTAAATAAAAAGCAGGCTGTGGGCTGAATTTACATAAAGGTGGCAGCTGACATTGAGGAAGGAGAGATAAATAGGAAAGAAAGAAATTTACAGCCTTTTAGCACCAGGGAAGATGTTTCTAGACTTTTCCAGTGAGCTTCTGATCTACTTCCCCAACTACACATGTGTCATATCCACGTGGCTTTCCCACATCATGCTCATGTTGACTCACATTCATATTCACACTCGCACTAACACTCACACTCAATGGGATCAAAACTGAAAGCCTGTCCTGGCCTCCCCCACACCTGCTTGGAGTGTTGCGGTGCTCTCCAACTGTTGCCCAAGCCAAAGCTTCAGGGCTGCCCTTGAGTTTCCATGATTCATGATATTATCCTGTCAGTTCCACTTCCCCAGTAGCTCCTGTAGGTTCCTCCTTGAGTCCTCTCCATGGCACCCCCTACCTCAGTTGGCGACCACTATCTCAATGCAGATCACTTCCTTTCTCAGCTAGGGCAGGTGACAGTTTCCTACCTGGTTTCCCTCTCTTCAGTCTTACTCTTATCCAAATCAGTCTTCTCAGAGCAGCTGTGGAGAATTTCTGAAATGGATATCTGATCACTTTTAACATTCTCTAGTTGTTACCAATTTCCTGTATTAAATCTCTTAGGTCTTTTCTCGTCATTCAATCTGCATTAGTCAGTTTTCACACGACTATAAAGATACTACCTGAGACTGGGTAATTTATAAGCAAAAGAGGTTTAATTGACTCACAGTTCTGCATGGCTGAGGAGGCCTCAGGAAACTTACAATCCCGGCAGAAGGCGAAGGGGAAGCAGGCACCTTCTTCACAAGGCAGCAGGAAACAGAGTGCAGGAGAAACTGCCACTTTTAAACCCATCAGATACTGTGAGAACTCCCTCACTATCATGAGAACAGCGTGAGATTTGGGTGGGGACACAGAGCCTAACATATCACAATCTAAGATATTCCCCACCTCCTTAGTTAATTTTCTCTGTAATACTTATTCTACTTATTCTGTTTTACATAGCATTGCTTGTTTGCTTTCTTCTTATTTTTCTTCTCCTGCTTCTTTCTTTCTCTTTGTCTCTTTCTCCCTCTCCTTCTCTTTCTTTCTTTCTCTTTCTTTCTCTCTCCTTCCTTCCTTCTTTCCTTCCTTCCTTCCTTCCTTCTTTCCCTCCCTCCCTCCTTCCCTCCTTTCTCTTTCTTTATTTCCTTCTTTCTTTCTCTCTCCTTCCTTCCTTCCTTCCTTCCTTCCCTCCCTCCCTCCCTTCTTTCTTTCTGTCTTTCTTTCTTTTTCTTTCTTTCTTTCTTTCCTTCTTTCTTTCTTTTACTTTCTTTCTTCTGTTTCCTTCCTTCCTTCCTCCCTCCCTCTCTCTTTCTCTCTTCCTCTCTTCCTCTTTCTCTCTTTCTCTTTCTCTCTCTCTCCCTCCCTCCCTCTCTCTCTTTCTTTCTTTCTTTCCTTTTCTTTCTTTCTTCAATTTTGTGCTGCCTATACTAAAATGTAGAGTTCATGAGGTCATGAGGCTAGAGTTAGATTTATTGTTCATAACTAAACCCCAGAATGTGGAAAGGTAGCTGGCGCATGGTAGATGCTCATAAATATTTGTTGAGTGCTTTGAAAACTGTGAACAGTTCCCACTAGACTGCTACTTAACAGTTATCAGGATTTATTTGTGTTCCTGCTTTCTCTAACCCCAGGATCTCAACTATTTTTTAACTTAGCTAACTAGCATTGATCCCTATTGATTTTTTTTTTTTTTTTTTTTTTGGCTAGGTCTTGCTTTTTCACTGAGGCTGAAGTGCAGTGGTGTGTTCATTGCTCACCACAGCCTCGACCTCCTGGGCTCAAGTGATCCTCCCACCTCAGCCTTCCCAGTAGCACACCACCATGCCTGGGTAATTATTTATTTTTTGTAGAGGTGGGATCTCACTCTGTTTCCCAGGCTGGTCTTGAACTCCTGGCCTCAAGCCATTCTCCCACCTTGAGGTTCCAAAATGTTGGGATTATAGGCATGAGCCACTGCACCTGGCCTATTTTTATCCTTTAGGACTCAGCTTTGAGATTATATCACTAGGAATCCTGTCCTAAGCACCTTCTCATCAGACTGTGTTTCTCCATAGTGCCCAGCATATTCCCTTGTCGTAGCACTGACCACCTTATGTTATTAATGTCTACCTCAGGTAGCTGGTAAGCTAATTCAGTAATCAATCTTACTGTCTACAAGACAGATTTATGTCTTGTTTATCATTGCATTTTCCAGGACTAAGCAGTGGTTTTGGCTTATCATCGATGTTCAATACATTATTTATTGAAAAGGTAAATGATAATATCTAATATTTATGTTACCATTATTTACTATTAATATTAATGTTACCATTATTTACTATTTATAAATGTATTTAGAATACTTAGTGTATCACAAAAATGTCCATTAGAGCAACTGAAACAAAAATGATTAAATAGTGTAGATTTTGTTTTGTTTAAGAAAGTATACAAATGTAAAATACTTATAAGGAATATTTCTAATGCAAAACAACAAAGACGTGTAAATGGGTAGGCTTTAATTATCTGGAAAATTTCTTGACAATACTGACTAGCTAAGTTTTCGTGTGATTACTGTCTTTTGTGATGAACATTATTATGTTACCTCATTTTTCTATTTTCCCCTAAAAAACAGGAAAACCAAACAAGGATTTCTGTGGGAAAAATGCTATAACCAAGAAGTGCTTGGCTATTAGAACAATACTTTCTTACTGCTAAAATTCTATTAAAAATGGTTGTATGCATTTTGAGATTTAGTTATTTCTGTGATTTAGCTGCAGTCTTTTTATTTATTTTTTCTTAGAATCTCTGCTTTGGAAACTCTTGGCCTATCTGTTGGGTGGAATTTGGTGAACTTTAGCCAATGAACCAAATCACATATGTATTCTTCGGCTTAATTTGAATTCTGCTTTGTATTGGCCAATCACATCTTTCTTTGGTAGGCAGGCAAGCTTGAACAGGATGTTCCCTTAACTGCTTGAGGGGACCTTCATGGTAGTGTGGAATTATAGTAGACAGATCTACATAACAATGAAATCAGGGACAACAGAGATAAATGGTGTCTAACAACAAGTATTAACACCATCTCATAAAACTATAATCATTGACATGTTAGTTTTTTAAGTTACACAAAACATTGAAACAACCATAGGGACTGTGCCCAAATATTCTTTGTCTTCTTGGAGAAGTCTTTTCCAACCATGGACATAGGCTGAAAATCTCAGTTAACCTCCAGCTTTCCTGTTCAGCCTAGTTAATGTGCCTCTATTTCAACAAAGGAGAACTTTACCTCTCAAGAGATATTTATTTATTGACATTTTACTTATCAGGAAACCAAAATGTTACTTGTTTGTGGCTCTGCATATGATTTAAGAAGAAATATCAGGGTGGAAGATAGATAAATAGATGGATAACATCTTTTGAAAATAATAATTGCAGTCATCAAAGTTAACATATTTTGACAGGTTGGTATATGAAAAGTCATTTTAAAAAAAAACCAGCTGTTTAACAGTAGGGAATTTCACTCTTAGGTTGAATCCAAAGATGCATGTTGGTATTTATTCTGTAATCAATCACAGAAAGAAAAGACCTCGAATTTTAGTTGGAAGTTTTATTTTTATCCTTTTCCTTACTCCTGGTCTTTAAACCTGCTCTGAGGAGAGCTATACATGCCAGGGTAGAGCTCATCAAAAGCTAGCAATCACAGCTAAATCAGCATGCAAAATGCCACTCAACCTTGGGCCTTTATTAAAATTTGCTGGGACTCAATTTGAGATAGCGATCATTCTTATTAAAAAGCAAAATGTAAGATAGTTTTTTTATATAAATCTCTGGATGGAATGGAATTGCTAATCAGCATAGGCTGATGTGATTTCTCTGTTGCAAATCCTGCCGAGGGCTCAGAAGTGGCACATTACCATAATTCGCAGGCTAGAGCTGGCAGCTTGAAAAAGACCTGCAAGAATCTTTAAAATGCTTAAGCAAAGCTGCAAGTCACAGCAAAACAACACAGCGAGAGCTGCTACCCGGTGTTCCTCTTGTTATATAATGAAGTTGTGGCCTCTCCCTCATCATTTGCTTTTCTTGATGCTCCCTTGTTTATGTTGCTGGGTGTTGTTTATAAACAACCTCTCAACATAGCATTGCCACACGGTAACATCCGTCCATTTACAATGTGCTTGGTTCACGGCAGAGGTTGAATGAAAAAGCTTGCATTTTTCTTTTAGTACAGAAAGTGCAGCCAATCAATTAACCACATGCACTTAATGCATTGTTTGTCTCCCCTGCCATCTCCTCTCTCCCTGTTTGACATTATCCTCTATAATTTTTGTTCCCAAAAGATATAGAGCAGCCTCCAAAAGATAGAGAACTCTTCTTGGATACATGATTGCCTGCTTATTTAATGCCTATTTTTCACCCAAAGAAAATATGGTTAGATTTGGGGACCAACCCTTAAACTGAGTAAGGTCAGAGACATATATCATTTTTTCCCCACAGAGGGAGGGTTACATTTACTTCTGCACAAGAAAACTCATGGCACAGCTATGAGGAGAGATGTCAGCATAAACCAAAATGAGTGTGGCTGAATTTGTGGTAGAAGGAATTACTGACAAAGGCACTCAACATTGGGTGAACTAATGGCAATCTGACCTGATGGTAAGAAGAATTTACAAGAAATGTATGCGTTCACACACACAGCAAGACAATACAAAACAGTACACACAGCTTTCTTATGAAAAGCCCAAATAGCTTGATCACTTGGAAGTCAAATTGTTATATGTCAAACTGTTATAAGCAGATATGTCTGCTTAGGAGATTGGTTGTCTAAGGAAGAGAACCAGTCACTCGGTTTTCTGAGATATGATGTCCAGTGGGCGAAGGAGGGCCTTTCTCTCCATCTTTTGGATTATAGCTTTAAACTTCTTCTTTTTTTTTTTTTTTTTCATTTTAACACTAACTTTCAAAATAGCACTAGGCTCAAACTTTTAACCAGGAATAGGTGATAGAGTCAAGCTGACTTATCCTCAATGAGAGACCAAAGGAAGCTCCTTCTGTATCTAGGACTGTTCCCCTCAGGGCCCTGAGTAGGCTCTGAAGTGGGAAGCTGGCCTTTTTTTAGAGCGTATGTAAGTGTAGTAAATGAACACGCACATTTTAATGACAATTACTGTTTTCTTTCGTGGTGACCGGGTTGTGTCACCTTGATTAGGGTCCATAGTGATCCTCAGAGCACATTAGCCTATAATGCAGAAATTGAGGTGTAAAGTTCTGTTTGAAAATCTAAATTTGCTCAAATTCGAATGAACATCAGTTTAAAGGTGTTAGAAATTTCTCGACTAGTGGTGGGGAAACCCAGTGGGCAGATTTGCATTGTAACCCATTTAAAACGGGCACAAAAGGAAACAAGGCCCAGAGAGGAGGCGTGAGCCGGATTCAAAGAGCTTATGCTACCTGATGTCTCCTTTTGATAGCCCCTCTGAATCCCTCGTTAAAGCCAGAGAGCTGAAAATGATTTTCTAGTTAAAAACAGCAGTCAGATTAAGCAGATTACACAATGCACCTTTATTATTATTTTTTCTCCCAAGTCCAAAAAGCCATTACGAGGGCATTGCTTCTGAGCCTGCGCACCGGGGGCTCTGGCACCCAGTGCCTGTCTCCCCAGCCTTCCCTTCCCAATTTCTTCCTCCAAAAACGGCTGCGATCGCTCAACATCAGCGTGCACAGCTGGACTTCACGTTCCCATTTGCAGTGGATTCTTCATCTGAAATGCTGGTAGTATTTGTCAGCCTGGAAGTGTCTTGAGGCTGCTTCTGAGAGATACAAGGAGGCAACTGATAAGAAGCGCATCAGAAGGGCAGTTAATTGCCTCCAGTCTCTCGGTGCTGGGAATATTTAAAATCTATGGGATTAAAGGCAGATTAAAAACTGTGGAAGCAGGGGCCCAATAGCGCTGAAAGATCACAATCAGCAAGCGTAATGGCAGAGAAAAAATGAATGTGGCAAATAAAATGACAGATAGGAAATTCAGATCCGCTTCTAATGCTCGAAGTTCCATCTTGTAAGCACAATTCATCTACGTGTAAATCAGTCTTTGGCTTCAAGCTTATCAGCCAATCGGTGAATTAAAAATGCTCTTTCCTTAGAGGATTAAAGAGGTTGATTGAAGTCAGTGTGAAAACTGGCCAATAAGTCTGGAAATGTCAGGAGGGGGCTTCAGAGGAACTCGGTGTACTTTTTTTTTTTTTTTCCTCTCCTCTCTCTGCCTCTCCCACTCCGTGCTGTGAAATAGGAAGTTTGCAAAGCAGTGGAGTTCTGTTACTTTGAGAAATGCTTTTGTGTTTTCTGTAGGTGACAAATGCATCCAGATGGAGTGTTTGAATTTGCAAGGTGCACAGGAATCTTTACCGTGAAGACACACAGTGGGGAAACATCGATGAAAGCAGTTGCTACTTGTAGAAATCAGCCTGCAAAGGGAAGCCACTAGAAACCTGGGGGCCTGTAAGATTAGCCTGAGTGTCTATTTTAAGTTGTAACACTGTGACTAGGAGTATTTTAGATTTTGAGAACATACGTTTAATTGGACAATTGATGTTCATTTGGGCTCCTGGATTAAATGTATTAGGCTTTAAAACGTTAGCAAAACATACTTTTAGTACCTTGTTTCTCAAAGCAGTTGAAATACTGGAGATGGAATAAGTGTTCCCTGTATCAGTGAGTTTTGTTTCTAAGGCAACTGTCATTTTTAAATATGGGGTAATATGCAATTTGACTCAATTTCTAAGAGGTGGTCTTGGTAAGGGGACTCCCGGCTGGTCCTGGGCTTTAGCACAATTTCAGCAGAGGGGACTGTTCAGGGGACTGGAAGGCACCCTAAATGCAGATTGTATCCTTTTCATTCCAAAGGTCCAGTTGAACAAGAAAATTCCCAGCACAAAAGCACTAAACCGAGACATGTTGTAGGACTCTGAGAAAGATGTTTTTACTTTTCTGTAGTTTTATTCCTGACTGCACCAAGAATTTCAGGTGCTTGACATTCTATGTCTAGCATCAGCATTGGGCTTGATAGCCCTTGTATTATAGAGGAGGTAACTGAGAGGCAGGGATGTTCAGGAACTTGCTAAAAGTGACCCAGGAAGAAAAGGAGGGGTCTAGATTCCAACTCAGTGTTGACCGGAACCTATAATCTTTCCTCTCACAAACCCACAGTCTTCCCTCCCGTTTGCATTTTGAAGAATAGGCAACACACAGGTGCACACAGGCAGACTAACATGGAGAGGTGGCTGTAAGACACAGGTTCACTGATAATTGGGACTCAAACCTGTCGCTTGATTCAAAGAGTCCTGGGAAAGTTAATTTTGCCCTTTCCATCTTTGACTTTCAACATTTTTATTTTATTTTATTTTATTTTATTTTATTTATTTTTTTGAGGCAGAGTCTCACTCTGTCGCCCAGGCTAGAGTGCAGTAGCATGATCTCAGCTCACTGCAACCCCAACATCCTGGATTTAAGCAATTCTTGTGCCTCAGCCTCCCCAGTAGCTGGGACTACAGGTGTGCACCACAAAATCTGGCTAATTTTTATATTTTTAGTGGAGACAGGGTTTTGCCATTTTGGCCAGGCCGGTCTTGAACTCCTGGCCTCAAGTGATCCACCTGCCTTAGCTTCCCAAAGTTTTGGGATTACAGGCATGAGCCATGGCTCCAGGTCAAAATTTTTATTTAATTTTTAAATTTTTGTGGGTCCCTAGTAGGTGTATATATTTACGGGGTACATGAGACGTTTTGATACGGGCATGCAGTGTGTAATAATCACATCATGGAGAGTGGTGAACCCATCCCCTCAAGCGTTTATTCTTTGTGTTATAAATAATCTAATTATACTCTTTTAGCTATTTAAAAACGCACCATAAGGTTATTATTGACTATAGTCATCCTGTTGTGCTATCAAATAGTAAGTTGCGTTCATTCTATTTTTTTTGTACCCATTAACTATCCCCACCTTCTTCCCCACCCCACTACCCTTCCCAGCTTCTGGTAACCATCCTTCTACTCTCCATGTCCATGACTTAGATCGTTGTGGTCATTTTTGACTTTTGAATGCCATTATTAGCAATTTGTTGCATGGTGTTAAGATTTGCTTGTAAACTGAGCACTACTTAAAAAAATGACACTGTCTCTTGGAAAGTCAGCACAATCTATTCCTAATGCTTTAACATGTTCACATTTATTAGATGAGGGGCAGAGGCTGCAAGGAGCACCAAAGGGCAGATCTTTGGGGATGATCTCGCCCCCTTGCCCTCTGTCACTAAAGTGGCCACCAGGGACTGGCTGTTCTGGGTTTATTCATGACCCTGGAGTCACTTGCTGTCTTACTATTCAATATGGTTATTTTGTCTTTATTTTTCTCTGATTTCACTCTTTAAATTGCACAGAAATCGTAAGAATTGGCAGAAGAATTCATTTGGCACTTTTGATTTGGATGCATGTATTTGATTGGCCATATGTCATAAACTGAGTAGTAGACTGCGTTGTGTTTGCTCTTCTATGTTTGTCCTGGATGGATGTAGGAAAATTCTCCTCTGGAACTTATGGCTCAGCTCTAGTCTCTTGCCCAGCATCTTGCAGTTTCTTCCAAAAGTTTCCTTTCTTACTTTCTATACTTCCTTCGTCCCTATATATCCAGTGTGGGAGTTGGTTGCTGCCAACTATGGGCAGAGGAACAGTGTTGAAAGCAACAAGCTGTTTTCTATTTATTAATTATTTGCCAGAATCTCAGCTTCTCCACTGTAGCCTACTGACCAAAGCGCTGAAGATTAATCTGTTTATTTATTTGAGACAGAGTCTCCCTCTGTCACCCAGGCTGGAGTGCAGTGGCATAATCTCAACTCACTGCAACCTCTGCTTCCTGGGTTCAAGCGATTCTTGTCCCTCAGCCTCCTGAGTCGCTGGGATTACAGGCACATACCACCAAGCCTGACTAATTGTTTTGTATTTTTAGTACAGATGGGTTTTTGCCGTGTTGGCCAGGCTGGTCTTGAATTCCTGGCCTCAAGTGATCCACCCGCCTTGGCCTCCCAAAGTACTGGGATTACAGGTGCGAGTATTTATTTCTATAATATTTGGTCTTGCCTTCCATTTTATAAGCTATAGACATTTTTATTGAAGATTTTGAAAATTTATAAAAAATATACAAAAGAAATTAAGAATACCTGCAATCCTGTGATGTCAACATCATTGTGGTTAACAATTTTGGAATATATACATTTTGATATTTTATATAGCTTTTATAGTTGTACAAAAATATATTATGGTAAACTAGACATTGCATTTTATTTAGCATTAAAAAATTTTTATATACCCTATTATGAGTGTTTTCTTATGCCAATAAACACTTTTCAATGATATGTTTTAAAACTGTAGGTGCATAATTCTATTACATGAGTGAATCATACTTTATTAAACAAATCTCTATTAATAGAAACTTTTTTGTTTCCAATTTATTTTTGTTATTATAAATAAGATACAAATCATCATCCTTTTACATAAAATATTAATTAGGCTTTTGTAAATTGTTTTGGTCAAACTAATCTTATTCATTGTAAGAAATTTAGGAAAATGCATAAGGAAAAAACACTTAAAAGAAGCAACCATAATTTTTACTATTAAGAGACGTTCATTAACTTTCACTGTACATTCTTTCAACCTTTTTCCAAAGGGGTGTGTGGTTTAACAATTGGGAACATGTGGTTAGTTATTGCTTCTTGATGCTGACCACAGCTAACACTTAGTCTGTACGTGCCATGCTCTCTTGCAAGTACTTCACATGGGTTTCATTTATTCTCTTAATAGTCCAATGAAAGAATCCTTTTATAATTCCCATTTTATAGGTGAGAATGGGAAGACACTGAAGCACAGGAAGTTTAATTTCAGAAGTGGCAGAGTCAGGATTCAGCCACAGAGTCCCCACTCTCATCCCCCAGATGCAGAGCTCTCTCTGGACGGCGGATTCAGGCTCAGAGATTTCATACCATGCCCAGGGCTGGACTCTGGGGCGGGGAGCTTGACAGCCAGAGGATTCTCTGCTTGACTGGGATTTCTGGGCTGAGAGTTGCCTGCCTAGAAAAACTCCTTTGCTCTCCCTCATACTCCCTGAGAAGAGAGTGTTTAGTCCCTGTCCTGTGAAATTCACCTGTCCTATGTGCCTTTTCCTCAGGGCGATGTTCTGCTAATCTGAGAAGCTAATCTGAATTAATGCTCAGTAATGGGCTAAATGCAGCCCCTCTAGGGGAAAAACATATCTGCATGCTAAAAGGGGCTTTTTGGAAAGTTCTTTATTGCATACCTATTTAGAAAGATGGAGAAAGAGAGAGAGAGAGAGATTTGGGGCAGGGTTTTGTGTGTGTGTGTGTATGTGTGTGTGCATAACCCTGAAATAGCACTATTTAACTGACAAAGGCCAGGCTCCGTGGCTCATGCCTGTAATCCCTGCACTTTGGAAGGCCAAGGTAGGTGGATCGCTTGAGCCCAGGAGTTTAAGACCAGCCTGGACAACACGGCAGAATCCTATGTCTACAAAAAATACAAAAATGAGCCGGGCGTGGTGGCATTCACCTGTAGTCCTAGCTCCTGGGGAGGCTGAAGTCAGAGGATTGCTTGCGTCCAGGAGGTTGAGGCTTCAGTAAGCTGCGATTGTGCCACTGCCCTCCTGTCTGTGTGAAAGAAAGAGTGAGACCCTGTTTCAAAACCACAAAACCCAAACAAAAAAACTGACAAATGACTCAAAAGCCTGGCCCTTGTATACACAGATAGGGGAAATTAGAGATTTTTATTAACACCCAGATCATCCTTTAATATACGTATTCTTTGGTTGGCTACTGCGCTGGTAAGTTTTATTGCTGTTGTTAAAAGGAGTCACAAAGTGTTGCAGTGATTGGAAGTGGTATTTTAAGAGTAACAGGGTTTATGCTTAGGAATTTTTTTTCTTTTTTTTTAGACGGAGTTTTGCTATTTTGTCCAGGCTTCTCGGCTCACTGCAACCTCCGCCTCCTGGGTTCAAGCGATTGTCCTGCCTCAGCCTCCCGAGTAGCTGGGATTATAGGTTCCTCCCACCATGCCTGGCTAATTTTAGTATTTTTAGTAGAGATGGGGTTTCACCATGTTGGCCAGGCTGGTCTCAAACTCCTGACCTCAGGTAATCCACCCACCTCGGGCTCCAAAAGTGCTAGGATTACAGGCATAAGCCACCACGCCTGGCCTTATGCTTAGGAATCTTAACAATGAGTTCAAAGTTGAAAAAAATGAAGTGGATGATCTGAGGGATGTACAGGATATTTTAGAACTTAAGATAATGAAAACAAACACGATGACACACACTAGATTTTCTTAAAGGACAGAGCCTAGGAAATCAGTACTCCTAGCTCCTCTTACTCTTCAATGCCTGGGTAAGATTCAGAATGGTTATTTCTGTTTGGCAATTTATAAATATGAGCTACTCTTTGCTCAGACAAATAGGAAATATTTCTCTTCAATGATGGATGTGGCCATTTTTACACCAGAGATAAGACTGGTAAGAAACAAGCACTAGGAAAATTACAAGCAGAACTCCCATCCTCTTCACTCTCATTCAATTGGACCTTTGAGGTTGAGCTTCTGGAAAGATCCTGAACATTAAATGCAGTAAACAAGATTGCAGAATGTCCTTCTAGCACATTGTTCTCCCAGCAACCACCAACTTGCTTTACATTTGCCTTTAATTATAACCTTAAGTAGAAGGGTAGGAATTGCCAGAGCCAAGAATTCTTTTTGAATTTGCATCACAGACATCTCAGTATCTTAGGAATTTTCCTTTTTTTTTGCATTTTGGTGAGTTAGTTTCTATGACACTCCAAAAAATAGTGGTTCTCTGAGAATGGAGACCTAGCTTCCAAAGAACAAACTTGGCTAAAATATGTTCCTTTTCCAGGTAGGCACTGTTCTGCAATCGTATGGGGACAGCCCACACATCCTAATGAATGCATATCTGCAAACCAAAAAAAAGGGTGGAACAGGCCTTCCAAAGAACACCCTGTAGTTCTGCACCCCTCTTCTAAATCTAAACTGTTGGAGGTTCTACTTAGGTTATGCAGATACACCTCCTTTATCTACTCTGTAGGTTAAAATACGTTCTCTGTTACCCACTGTATAAATTTCACATTATTATAAACTCCTAAAGAAAGAGATTGCTTTCTTTCAGCTGAATCAAGAGTGCCTGTCCCCATCCCTTCTCTCACTCACTGATCCCAAACGGAAAATTCAGGTGCTGACACATCGCCCATGCATCCCTATGGTTCTTTGCAAGTTGCCTGATCAATGAGATGCCCTGTGATCCCCGGACAGGCTCTGATGCTGGGATTTAGGCAGCTAGCTGCATCCTCTGAGCACACTGCAGGCTGTTGCACCACCTGTCTGCCCTTTTTTACTTGCGAAATGGAAATCTCTCTAAGCTCTATCATCTTTGACATTGCTGTAAAAAACAAGTTTTAGTGATAAGGTGAACCAGGTAGAATGGCAGGATGGGATATGTGGCAGAGATATATTTTTGACTCCATATTTTAAAACTTTAGATGCAGCAGAGATATCTAAGTAAAGCCGTGCTTTGCCTGCTAAGACAGAAGATTAATATCCAATAAATTACTCCCCCAAGTCCTTAGTCCTGAATTTCAGTTCTTAGTGCACAAACTATAGTCCATCATGGTAAATCAATTATTCTTATTCTATCTTTTTCTCATTTTTTTTGATTAATGTGTTTTTATTTTCACAAATGTCTCAAAGGTCCTTGCATACTGTAACATTTTAAATATATTGTTAATATTTGAATTTTTAAAAACCAAAGTCACAGAATTTTCATCTCTGAATATTTAAAAGTAGAATAGGTTAAGGGATTATCATTTGAGATTTATTTTGATCCCATTCTTTCTGGAGGCAGTAGAATTAATTTGACCTTTAAATGTCTACCTCAGACCTATGCTTCTCTAAAAACATAATCTGAGTCAGGTAGGGAAGGCCGAAATCTCTGCAAAATGTGACATAATACGTGCAGGAGATGCTTAATTGAAAGATAAAATAATCTAAATTTTTAAAGTTGTACCCTGATCAAAATTAAGAGATACATTCTTTTTCCCTTTTCACACGTCCTTTTGCTTTTAGGATCCAGTAATAAATACATTATAGAGGTGAATGACATGAAGTAGATTATTTTCTAATTCAAACCTTACTGTGTGATCCTGAGAAATATTTTAGTTTATATGCCTCATTCTTCATCTATAAAATGGTAGAAAGTTTATTACTTTTCACTCTTGAAGGCAGTGTGATGTGTTAGAACGAACTTAAGTTTTGAAGTCAGGGATGCTTGAATTTGAGACTCAATTTTTTGTCTTAGTATTTTTTCATGTGATATCAGGCAGATTCTTGAATACCTCAGAGCTTTGTTTTACTCACCTGTAAAATGAAAGACTATATTTCGATCTTAGTTTTATGGTGAAGATTTAATGAGATTATGTATGTAAAGCATCTGGCATGAAAACTAGTAGATCCCCAGCAAACGTCAGTTTTTTTCATTCGCTCTTTCTTCTCTTAGGCTGTTGCATCAGATAAGCGTTTTGGATGTTGCAAATGTTAACATACACAGCACTTACAAGCTGCTACGTAATCCGCTAAGCATTTTATATGTTGCGTTAACACATTCAATTCTTACAATGACTCTGTGAAACAGATGATATTATTGTCTCCATTTCATAGATGAAGGAACTAAAGTACAGATAAATTAATTTTACATGATTAAGTTTGCAAAGCTAGATAGTAGAAAACCATGGATATGAACCCAGGCTGTCTGGTTTCTGAGTTCCCCTTTGCTTTTTTTTTGGAGACAGAGTCCTGCTTTATTGCCCAGGCTGGAGTGCATTGGTGGGACCCTAGCTACTGTAGCCTAGCCTAGAACTCCTGGGCTCCAGTGATCCTCCTGCCTCAGCCTCCTAAGTAGCTGGGACTACAAGGGTGCACCACCACGCTTAGCTAATTTTTTAAGTTCTTTGTACAGATGGGGTCTTGCTGTGTTGCCCAGGTTGGTCTTGAACCCCTGGCCTCAAGCAATCCTTCTGCCTTGGCCTCCCAAAGCACTGGGATTATAGGCATGAGCCATGGCACCCCACCTGAGGTCCCCTTTGAACTACTAACTTCTAGGTCCCTGATAAACAACCCTGACAAACCTGACCAGGGGTGGGTCCAATTAGAGCTGGAAGGCCCTTAGGAAATCTTGTCCAGTGCTGCCCAAGCTGTTTAGAACACACATAGGATTCTTGGTAAAATATATTTGGGAAACACTAAACAGTTAAATTGGTGTTTGTTGTAAAGCTTTATTAGAATGTCTCATGGAGGCATTTGGTATGCTAAAGTTTATTGTGAATCTCTGAGAAAGCGTACATATGTGTGTAACACTGTGATCCTCAAAAACTCTCTGGCCACACAGTTTTTTTCTTTTCTTTTTTTCCTTCCTTCCTTCCTTCCTTCCTTCCTTCCTTCCTTCCTTCCTTCCTTCCTTCCTCTCTCTCTCTCTTTCTTCTTTCCCCCAGAGCTAGCTGAGGTTTTATTTTGGGGCGGGGCGGTGGGTGGAAAAGCAATTGAATTGTTTTGTAGCTGGAGGCACGGGCAAGGGGGGTCACCAGGCAGTAAACTCGCCCGCAGGTGGGCTGAGCCTCAGGTGGGTCTCCCGTTCCCTGTGCTCCCCTGCGGCCTTCCTCCCGGGCTTTAGGGCAGCCGCAGGAGGGGCAGGCTGGGAGGTGCTGCCACAGCCTTTCACTTGGGCAGGACGTCAGAGGACTCGGACACCAGCTTCCCATCGCGGGTCTCGATCTTCCTCACAACCACGGCCCTCGGGGAGCTGGTGCGGCTGAAGGAGTTGGAGCCCGCGCCAGAGCCAAAGCTGCAGCCCATGGCGTAGCTGAGGCCGGGGCTTGTGAGGCCCCCGCAGGCTGAGCTCAGATCACCTGCATAGCCGCTAGTGGTCTTCCTATGGATACTCACCTTCTGCATCCCAGACTCCAACCGGCTCTCCTCGCCCTCCAGCAGCTTCCTGTAGGTGGCGATCTCGATGTCCAGGGCCAGCCTGACGTTCGTTCATCAGCTCCTGGTACTCACGCCGCTGCCGCGCCATGTCCTGCTTGACCCGCTGCAGGGCGGCCTCCAGCTCAGACACCTTGGTGTTGGCCTCCTTAACGGCCAGCTCCCCACGCTGCTCCGCATTTGCGATGGCGGCCTCCAGGGAAGCCTTCTGGCCTTTGAGGCCCTCAATCTCCGCCTGGGACCGGCTGATGTTCCGGTTCATCTCGGAGATCTCAGTCTTTGTACTCCGCAGGTGATCCTCGTGCTTCCCAGGCAGGGTCTGCAGCTCCTTATACTTGATTTGGTCCATGTTCTCAGCCTCAGCCCGGCTGTGGTTGGCGATCTCCTCGTACTGCATCTTGACCTCGGCGATGATGCTTTCCATGTCTAGGGAGTGGCTGTTGTCCATGGACAGAGCTACAGACGTGTCCGAAATCTGGGACTGCAGATCCCGGATCTCCTCTTCATACAGCTGCCTGAGGAAGTTGATCTCAGTCAGCCCTTCCAGGCGAGACTCCAGCTCTACCTTGTTTATGTAAGCTTCATCCACATCCTTCTTGATGAGGACAAATTCATTCTCCAGCTCTGTACCCTTATTGATCTCATCCTCATACTTGTTCTTGAAGTCCTCCACCAGCCCCTGCATGTTGCCAAGCTCCGCCTCCAGCTTCAGCTTCTCCTGGCCTAGAGTCTCCAGCTGCCGCCTAAGGTTGTTGATGTAGCTCTCCAACATGTACATGTTGCTCTGAGCCATCTTCTGCTCCTGCAGGAGACTCCACTTGGTCTCCCGCATCTTGTTCTGCTGCTCCAGGAACCGTACCTTGTTGATGAAGGAGGCAAACTTGTTGAGGGTCTTGATCTGTTCCTTCTCGTGTGTGTGCACTGTCTGGATGTTGGGGACCACCTCCAGATTAAGGGGGCTCAGCAGGCTCTGTTTGACTGTGATGGCGTGATGCCTCCCATGCCGCTGGCCACACCATAGCCTCCACCCAGGCCACCCTGGAAACTGCTGATGCCCACTCGGGAGAAGCTCAAGGAGCTGATGCGGGCACTGGGCCCACTTGTGTAGGAGCGGCTGCTGAAAGTCTGGGGGCCAGAGGTGGACACGTTGTAGGACTGACTTCTGGGTCACCCTGATGGATATGGTGGAGGCAGGAGTGGAAGCAGGCGGGCTGAACCAGGCTGAGATTCCAGAAGGAGCAGAGAAGCTGCTTCTTGGTCCGTAAATCTTTTTTGAGGAGCACTTGGTAACATGTCTGAGGTTCACAGTTTAATGCATGTTCATGTAATCTGAGTGTCTCATATTGCAGATGGAGAAATGGATGTCCACACATAGAATGGAACTTGCTCAAATGGCAGATGTTTAATTGGTGGCAAAATTGAAATAAAACTCAGATCTTCAGCCTCCAAATGGAGTGCTCTTGCCACTATGCCACATAATAATGCACTAGATAATAGTGCCTGAGATAAAGAACCACAGTATTTTTTTTTCAATATTCCTGCCTAATTCATTCAGCACAGTGAATAGAACTGACGTGTATCTTTCCACTCTAATATTGCCACTTCTAAGCAAATAATCAATATAGTCCATGGCATTATTTTCCTGTTACTCCTGCTTCTGGGGCTGTGCATGGACCTCTTAAAAGCTAGACATCAGGCCAGCCGCGGTGGCTCATGCCTGTAATTCCAGTACTTTGGGAGGCCGAGGCAGGTGGATCACAAGGTCAGGAGTTTGAGACCAACCTGGCCAATATGGCGAAACCGCGTCTCTACTGAAAATACAAAAATTAGCCGGGTGTGGTGGCGGGTACCTGTAGTCCCAGCTATTTAGGGGGCTGAGTCCGGAGAATCGCTTGAACCCGGGAGGTGGAGGTTGCAGTGAGCCGAGATCACGCCGCTGCACTCCAGCCTGGGCAACAGAGTGAGACTCCATCTCAACAAAAAAAAAAAAAAAGGAAGAAAAATGAAAAAAGAAAAAAGCTAGACATCAGCCTTAGGGCTGGCTCTTGGTTGGTTATTGTGTTTTCAAGTGCCTGAGATCACATCTCTAAAGCGCTCTTCAGATATGTGGGTCATATGAATAAAACAGCTTAGGAACACAATTCTAAAATCTTTGAAACATCTTTCACCCTGCCAGAGGTTTGCATATTACATCTGAGGAATCTTACAAACAATCTTACATACTGTATATGTAAACAATAACAGGTGAATTCTAGGGAGGGGGTGGATTGAAAAATGTGGGCAGGTCAAACATGAAGAATGGGAATAGAATTATGGTGCTGCTAGTAATTTTGTAAACCAGCTTCCTAAGTTCTTAAAAAAAGGAGGCGGGGGGACTTAATTTGAGTGAGTAGCCATCATCAGCCTGTCCTTAACTGAGAGAAAACAAAATGGTTTCAAGGGAAGCTATATTGAAGTCAGCTAATATAGTGAAGTCAGATCATTCTGATGTATCCTAATTCTCTGTAATGATAATGCTTTTGAGTTATGTCCCTATTAGGATCTGCTAAAGTATTCTTAGTGGCTAGGTGAGGTTTTGAAGACAAGAAAGTCAAGTTGAAGGTTTAGAGCATCTTGTGTTATCATTCTAATTTCAGAAGAGTAAATACGGAAGATTAAAAATTCCGTAAGTAAATAAATACGTATGCCAAGTGTATGACAACAGGGTACCAGAAGACCTGGATTTCTGGAGGAGAGACTCTGAAGAGGAGAGTAGGGCAATCCTCTGTTCTCATTCTTCTCCTGTACTCACAGTGGGTTTACAGATGTTTCCCTGCCCCTCCAGTGGGCAGCTGGTTCTGTAACTGTCTGCAGGCCAGGGCTGCGAGCAGCCTGCTTACAATGATATATTTGATATGCAAATGACAAGGCCTAAAATGGAGCGGCTGATAAGACTCAAGACCAATTTCAAGTGAGGGTCACAGTGGGGAGAAACACAATGATCAAATTCATGAATTAGACTTCAGTTTCCCCTTCCTTTGTCAACAGGAAATATTTATTAATTAAACCAAGGAAGGCTAGTGGGTACTGATGAGCAAATTAGCACATCAAAACCTTGGATGAAAGTTCCTGAGAATAGCGGGCCGGGGAGAAACCTGGGAAAAGAAAAATAAACTGGAATTTACAGCTTATTTTGATATGAATCGAGTAATAATCAAGTGATTTGTTCCATCCAAGGGAAAAAGTTCGTGTAACAAAATTGCCATTCACCAATTTAAAATAATTTTTAGTTTTTTTCTTTTGTTTGCAGGAATGATGACGATAAGACTATGGAAAATGGTGACAGGAAAGTTGTAATAATTGTCATCAGATAATAACTATTTCAACTCACCAACTCTCATAAGAATATATGCAAATTACAGTAATACTTAAAAACAATACAAATAAGCACAAAGATAGTTCACACGGTGAAATTACTTTCTATGGAGATTCCTCAGCTTTTATTTCCTTAACTAGTCAGTTCTGGAATTTCAGAGTTTGCTCTCTTGCCGGGCTTCCCGCAAACCTCAAACTTTTAGGAAGCAGTTTCATAGATATATTTTTCTAAAGCCGGCTTGCTGGTATGCACACAGTCGGGCGATAAAGGATTTAAGCAGGATTTACATTTTCACAATCCTCACCCTTGGCAGCCAGAGAGCCATTTCTGCTGCTGCTGGCAGTCTCCCTTGCTCCTCTCTACAATAATTTTATCTTAAATTATTTACTATTTCTTGCTGCTTATTTGCAGCCTTTTCTTTTGGTATTCTTGGTCACATCCACAGGCAGAAAGTAGGCAGATCACCTCATTCCGTAGGTCTTGATTTCCTCATCAGTACAAGGAATACTGAATCTGTATTCCCAACATACGCTCCACAATTAGAATCATCTACGGGATTTGGAATTACAACAGAAACAACACCACCCCTACTCCCAGAAATTCTGATTCGATTGTTTTGGGGTGGAGTCCAGGCACTGGTATTTTTTAAAAAAGCTCTGAGAAGATTTTAATATACAGTTAGGGTTGAGCATCACTGACTTTCTAAAGCCTTGCCACTCCAAGTGTAGCAAATGATTCTTGGTCTTGAACGACACTTCTAAATATATTTACATATCTATATCATATTTAAAACATTCTCTGAATTACCAGAAAAAATATACATATGTATTCATTTCTTGGTAACAAATCTGAAATTATGCTCAATGCCAGATAGTATTTATTCAAATATTAGATCAAGTAACTATCATTCCCCCAAATATCACCTTTTGCAAGACTGTAAGATCAATTTTGAGTTAATTTTTTTTTTCCAGAGTACTTTTAGAAGTTCTTATTTCTCTTCAGTTTGTTCTCTGGTGCTGTGTGATTTTAGAAAGAAAAGGACTGGGGTGACTGAGGCCAACAAAAAAATAGCAAAAGAGAGAAAAATGTGTACAATAATGTTTTCAGAGAAAAATAATATATGAACATTAAAGCCCCTCGGTATGTGAAAACATGGAAAGTGCACACTTACATGTAGAGCTCAGTTATAGTCCTGGCAACTGAGGAGAAAAATACACAGCTTTGTACAAATTTTTCTAAGGCTAAGCCATCTTATAAATGTGCTTTTATATCCTTGACCAGAACCCTGCTTAATCTAAAAGAAAGAGTACAAATGAGGATTGAAGGCTTGGTTTCTCTTACTACCCTTATCAGATCTCAAGATGGTTGAGAACCAATATTTTTACTTTTTGAAAAAAAAAAGCTGGCTAAATATTATAAACAAACAGGAAAAAAAGGAGGGCTGTGACTCAAGTCAACAGTGAAGTCTCAATCTTTCAAGTCTTAAATGCAGTTTTGCATGAGGTCTGGGACTAGCGTTGAAATAAACACTACATTGATGACCTTTAAAAGATAAGCTTCCAAAAGTTAACCTAAGAGACTGGTGGTTTGGACCTGTAATAGGCAGAAAAAAGAAAAGGTCTCTCAAGGTTATATTCAATTCCTAACTCTCAGAACCTGTGAATATGGCAAAAGAGTGAATATCACCTTATATAACAGAAGATGAGGGTCTTGAGATAGAAGATAAGGGTCTTGAGAAGATGTGGGTCTTGAGCAGAAGATAAGGGTCTTTAGAAGAGCTTGCATTGGATTATCCGGGGGACTCTAAATGTACTTGTGTGTTTCCTTATGAGACAGGTGGAGGGAGATTAGATAGAGACCCACACATAGAAGAAGGCAAGGTGCATATGGAGGCAGGGATTGGAGTGATGTGGCCTTGAGCCTAGGACACCTGCAGCCACCCAAAGTGATTCTCCCCTAGAGCCCCTGGAAGGAGTGGGCTTCTGCCAGCAGCTTGATGTGGTACTTCTGTTTTCCAGAGCCATGAGATAATACGTTTCTGTTACTTCAAGCCACCAAGTTTGTGCTAATTTGTTATAGCAGCCCCAGGAAACAAATACAGGGCCCAAAGGATAAGAACAGAGAGAGGGGTAAGTATCACATTGTGTAAAGTGAATACACCCCTTTACGTAAAGTGAATATGTAAGAGGAATAACTGGAAGGATTCATCAGAGTTTCTTTGTTTGCTATTTGCTTAGCAATTACTTTGTGTTTTATTTTTTGTTTATTGTTTACTTTTTTTTGTTTTTGATTTGATTTTTTTTTTTTTTGAGACAGAGTCTCACTCTGCAGCCTGGGCTGGAGTGCAGTGGTATGATCATGGTTCACTGCAGCCTCAACCTCCTGGACTCAGGAGATCCTCCCATTTCAGCCATGTAGCTGGGACTGCAGGTGTGCACCACCACTCCAGCTAATTTTTTGATTTTTTTTTTTGTAGAGAAGGGGGTCTTACTTTGTTGCCCAGGCTGGTCTTGAACTCCTGGCCTCAAGTGAACCTCCCATCTTGGCCTCCCAGAGTGTTGGGATTACAGATGTGAGCCACTGTGTCCAGCCAGCAATTACTTTCCATACAACCTACTTTGCAGCCAATGGTCTTAAGACACAACTCAATAATATCATCCTTGTTAGATAAAGCAACTTCCAGACTAGGTTCTGAAACTAATGAAGGTCACTGTCCAACAAATACACTGGGGACTGTGACTCTCAGTCCACACTGTAATCCCAGAGCACCTTTCCACAGAGTGGCCTGGGGACTCACATAGAGAGCAGAGCTACCTTTTTACCTCTCTCCTCCGCAGACTCTGGCTCCCAAAGGAGATACCCACATGAAGAATAATTTGCTGGTAAAATAACAGTAAAAGATTTTCTCCAAGGTACTTGAATTCATTACTTGGGTTATCTGCCCCACCTCCTACCAGCCCACCTTAGATACTAACTGAAGTGACACACAATTTAGAGGAAGAAAAAAACATTAAATTGCCATTGGAGGGATTCCCATTCCCAGGCCGGTTATAAACCAACCTGCTGCTGTCTTCTGGGCCCTCTAGGAAGTCTTGACCCCATGAGCAGTCTGAGTACATCCCCTTCCCTCCTCCTGTCTTTCCCTCACCCACTCTCTCGTGGAATCAAACTATAGCATTGATGTAGGAATATATGCTTCTTATAATGTACAAGCTTTTATTTTAAGTGGATTTTGGTTTCCAAACTCTTTTCCATAGTTATACCCCTGCCCTCCAATAGGGGAGCTAACATCTAACTTGTGATCTTGGGATAAATTACACTCTTTACCCCATTCTCTTAGGATAGGAACACTATTTAATGGGCTGGAAGATTCACCCTCCATTATTCTTTTTGCATTGGGAATATAATATAATTTCAGGGTTTGAGAGCACTCACCGACTGTCCAGTTATGTTAACTTAGTGTCTGGGTACATTAGTTTGCTGGAGCTGCTGTAACAATGTACCACGGGCTTGGGGTGCTTAGGCAACCGAAGGTAATTGTCTCTTGGTTCTGGAGGCTGAGGTCTAAGATCAAGGTGTTGGCAGGGTTGGTTCCTTCTGAGGGGTGTGAGGGATGGGTCTGTTCCAGGCGTCTCTCCTTGGGTTGTAAATGGCTATCTTCTTTCTCCCTGTGACTGTTCACATCATCTTCTCTTTATGCATGTCTGTCTCTGTGTCCAAATTTTCCCTTTCTGTAAGGACAGGCATCATAGGGATGGTCATATTGTCCATATTGTGGACACCTTAATGACGACGTTTTCACTTGATTACTTCTGTAGAGACACCCTGTCTCTAGATAAGGTCACATATGAAGGTACTAGGGATTAGGACTCTAGTGTACCCATATTTATGGGGTGGGGAGGGAGATACAATTGAAACATAATGCCTGGTTACTGAAGACACATTGGAACCGTCTCTACTGTTCACTCCACTCATCTTCATGCTTATGTCTCTATGCACTGTGGTCCATGTTGGATTTAATGTCCCTTCTTGCTTTGCCTCTGATCAGGCTAGAGACAGTCAACAAGGCAACTCAAACAGTCAGGTAGGTGGCATCAGACAGCTTGCTCTAACGAGACACATTAATTGCCTTCTGGAGGCCTCATGTGTTGTTTCCTTGATGTTTTAAATTAATTTGGAGAAGCAGTGAAGACTTATGGTTGGGGACAGGGGAATATCCTCTAGATGTTGGTAAAGCAATAGATCTACATTTTACTAGGTTGGCAGCGGGGGGAACCAAGTAAGAAAATCTGTCCAGTGGAGGCTTCATATTCAGTAGGAGTGAGAGGGAGACTGGTGGGAGCTATGGGAAAAGAGCCCATTTCAGCTTCTTAAAACTCCCCTTCTTCCCCTAGGACTAGAAGAAAGAAAGAACGCAGCTTTCTTACGTGTGCCCTCCTGGTAATCAAAATGTTTATTGTTCATTATGCAATATTTTTCTATACGGTGCCTTGAGGTCTTGAGAGGATTTCCACTCTAAAGAATGACTGAATAATGATGGATTTAAAAAACACAGGTCTAGCTTGGAATGGGAAAAGCACTGAAGCTCGAAAGTGGTAAAGAAAACACACAAGCAGGGAAAGATAGCCTCAAGCAGAGATTCAGGGGTGGTGACTTACTGCCACTCAGGGGACTCAATCTATCAACAATATCACTCACTCTTTTGGACCATGGCTAACATTCTCCCATTAGAGATTCACTGGAGTTAAGCTTGGCATAACAAAAAGTCTGTAAGCAGTAGAGTGAGAGTCAGGTAGATTCAGTTTGGAGTCCTGAAACTGGTATTTATTGGATATGTGTTTTTAGCAAATTTATTTAACCTCCAAAAAGAGAGATGTTCAGGGTGACTGAAAAGAGTCATTTTGAGTATTAGATGAAATGATCTCTGTGAAAACACCTTGTATTAGTCCGTTCTCATGCTGCTAATAAAGACATACCTGAGATCGGGTAATTTATAAAGGAAAGAGGTTTAATTGACTCACAGTTCAGCATGGCTGGGGAGGCCTCAGGAAACTTACAATCATAGCAGAAGGGGAAGCAAACATGTACTTCTTCACTTGGTGGCAGGAAGGAGAAGAATGAGAGCTCACCAAAGACGCAAGCCCCTTATAAAACCATCAGATCTCGTGATATCTTACTCATTATCACGAGAACAGGATGGGGGAAACTGCCCACATGATTCAATTATCTCCACCTGGTCCCTCCCAAGACGTGGTGATTATGGGAACTACAGTTCCAGATGAGATTTGGGTGGGGACACAGCAAAACCATATCACTCCTCTAGCAATGGCTGCCATGTGATGGGATTCCTGTGTATCCATGAATCCCCCCAGTTCCCACCAGGAGATG
Source organism: Homo sapiens (assembly GCF_000001405.40). NCBI lineage: Eukaryota > Metazoa > Chordata > Mammalia > Primates > Hominidae > Homo > Homo sapiens. The sequence continues at coordinate 8,522,692 of NC_000010.11, forward strand.
GCCAGTGGGGTCCAGAGTGTTTTCAACTCCAAACATTCTAGAAGGAGTGGCATATTAGGGCATACAAACCTTAGTCTTGGTCTAAAATAGTCCTGGGTTGTTAAAGTTTCTCCTTTTGATTGGAGAGGGCAGGGGTAATATGAAAACATCAATGGGGAGGTGGGGCCATGGGAGGAAGGTGAGAAGTGGGTGCTTTGGGCATTAGAAAGTAGAACTACTCTGGATTAAAAGGCAGAAGGAAAGGCCCCTGGGACCTGGAGGAGGGCTACTCTTTTATTTTTCTTTTGGAACAGAATGATTTTACCACCTTAAAAATGCTATGATGTCATTACTAAGTGGCTGTTGCCTGAATTTACTTAACAAAGTGTAAAAAAATCAATTTATGAATGTTATTAGACCTGATGGTTTTGGGAAGTAAGAAATTATAATCATTCCCACTCAACTGTCGTTAAATCAAACTTGAATGAGAACTTAAGTGGTCTAATTTGTGACTGGCTTAAATAAGTGTTCAAAATACCTAGTGGGCACCTAGAAGCATGAGACCTGCTATTCTCTTGGAATTATGATAGCAAAATGGCAAATTGGATCACTTTGACCTGATGTAATTCATTCGCCGCTGTGAAGGCTTAGTCTCAGGTTGCTGTGTATTAATGACACTAATGTGTATATTAATTTTTCTATTCTCAAGCCTAAGCTATTTGTTTAAGTAATAGCTTTATCTTAATCAAGGCTTTTATGATACAGAAATATAGTTTCTCAGCCTTATTCCTTAAATAATAGATTTTCATGAATATGGCCTCTTCAAAGTCTGGAGCTTTTACACCAACAATCAATTTGTCTTGAGAGCAGAAAATTTAAAACTGTATTACCTTACTGTGAGGCATCACCACAGTAAGCATTTCTTGTTCAACAGAGACTGAGGGTGCAGAGTGGCTATCTAGTGCTCGTGTTCCATGCTGCTGATAACTCGTGTGGTCTATACTCCGTTTAACCATTACCTTGCGGCACAGACATATGGTCGTGCCCTAGGAAGCCTTAGTCTGGAGACTTGGCCTCGGTTGGAGAAGACTGGGTGTGGAGCAGGTTCAGCAGAGCACCCAGCGTTCATGGTGGCCATCTCTATCTGCAAGGGAAGGAAAAGACACACGCATAGGAAGAGTAGGAAGGAATATGACATTGTCCCTTTTTAGCTAGGGGAGGGAATGGAATCAAGGGAAAGTCCTCTAATGAGGTTACAGGTAACTTCCTTTCTAATCATCTTAGTGGCTTTATTAATTTTTTTAAAATAAATAGAGATGGGGTCTCATTGTGTTGCCAAGGCTGGTCTTTAACTCCTGGGCTCATGAAATCCTCCTGCATTGGCCTCCCGAGTAGCTGGGATTACAGGTGCATGCCACCATGCCAGGCTAATTTTTTGATTTTTTAATGTTTTGGAGATGATATCTCACTGTTTTGCCCAAGCTTGACTCTAATTTTTTAAGCTCAAGTGATTCTCCCACCTTGGCCTCCCAAAGTTCTAGGATTACAAGCATGAGCCATTGCACCCAGCCCTTAGTGACTTTATACTCAGCTTTCTTCTTCAAGCCTCAAGATGCAATTTGAATAGGATATTCAGTACATTGATTTTCTGAGGCAATCACAGGTGATTCTCTTTTGGTCATATGTGGTTGGTTGGCTCCTAGGCTTTATATCTCATCATCAAGTATTTAATTCAGCACTGACTCAGCTAAATGTATCAATTACCTAGGAGAATTTCCTATAGCCCTTTTGGGTTCTGTAATTCCAGTGTTGGCCAGGAACAAATTGATTTATGTAGTAATGCTAACTATAGCAGCTTACTATTAAGCAACAGATATCAGAAGTGGTTTACTTTGAGATTATCAGCTGTTTATTATGATTGGGTCAGTAATGAGAGAAACGTCAAGAAGTGTTTCAAGAAAGATTTTCTTGTCTTTTTTTTTTTTTTTTCCTATTCTCCACATGTAGGCCTAGTAAGATTGCATTGCCCAGCTCAATCATATGTTCCAAATCTGCTTCAGCGTAAAGTTTAGGAAAAAGTGTCCTGTCAATTTAGCACATCCAGATTTTGTATTTATTTATTTATTTTATTTACTAGAGCCTTTTCTTTCATGTAGTTTGAGTAGCACATCTTTTCTTTTCTCTATTTAAACATTGAGACAAGAGTTAGGGATAAATGAACTTCACTATTTTAAGTGTTGTCTTTCCCAGGGACATTTGCATTTTAGCAGGGAACTGAGCCTTAGACCAAAGGGATGAATTTTTAATGGTATAATTTCAGGCATTAACAAATGATCTGGCAGGTAAGTTTTGGCAGTTGGGCAAACCGCCTGTCCCTAAAACCACTCCAGATCTATTTGCTAAGCCATCCTGAAATTAAAATAAAAGTATTTGCAAACTTTATGATGGTACAAAAAATTACAGTGAGGGATTCACTTAGTGGTTTAAAGTCATAGTGACTATTTAAGCCATTATTTTCCAAGTCAGAATTTACTTAAATATTCAATCTCATTTCTCTCTTAAAGAGTCTCAATGTCTAGGAATTTCCCATTTTAAAAAAAATTGCAATCAAATTAATTAAAGTGCAAAGCCTTATAATAAAACTATGTCAAAGAGACAAAAGTCCACTGATAGATTATGTTTTCAGGCTAGAGATTCAGAAAATATGAGTGCCTGTCATCCCAGATACTTAGGAGGCTGAGGCAAGAGGACCACTTAAGCCCAGGAGTTCAAGGCTGCGATGCACTGTTATTGTACCCATGAATAGTCACTGTGCAACATAGCGAGGCCCCGTCTCTGAAAGCAAGCAAGCAAGCAAGAAAGAAAGAGAGGAAGAAAGAAAGAGAAAGAAGAAAGAAAGAAAGAAAGAAAGAAAGAAAGAAAGAAAGAAAGAAAGAAAGAAAGAAAGAAAGAAAAGAAAGAAAGAGAGGAAGGAAGGAAGGAAAGAAAGAAGGAAGGAAGGAAGGAAATATGAGTATCTCCATAAGGGCATAAATGTTGGAAGAAAGAAAGAAAGAGAGAGAAAGAGGAAGGAAGGAAGGAAAGAAAGAAGGAAGGAAGGAAATATGAGTATCTCCATAAGGGCTTAAATGTTTCCCTAACAATTTAAAAATATGTCTTCATGTCTTTATGGTGGATTGAAGCTATAGACAGGTTGTGTCTCCAAGGCCTGGTGCCAATGTTTCCAAAAAGTCCACAAACGTTAGTTGAAATTCATATAATTGTTAAGAGGAGACGTTCTTTACAGTTGAAGTTAAGTATGTCCCAGTCCAAATTTTTCATTCAGAGTCTGTCAGGATGCATTTGCCAATGGAAACGATACTTTTGGAAGCCTTTTGCAAATGTTAGTGTCTTGGTTCACTTAAATTAATTTACTCCTTATGTCTGCATTTGTGAATGGACACTTCCAGTGGAAATGTAAAAAAAAGTCAATAAAAAGAAAAAAAAGATGGTGAGACATATCATTCCTAAATTCAGTGCTTTTATTTACTTATTTATTTGAGACTCACTCTGTCATCTAGGCTGGAGTGCAGTGGCGTGATCTCGGCTCACTGCAACCTCTGCCTCCTTGGTTCCAGTGATTCTCCTGCCTCAGCCTCCTGAGTAGCTGGGATTACAGGTGCCCGCCACCATGCCCGGCTAATTGTATTTTTTTTTGTAGAGACAGGGTTTCACCAAGTTGGCCAAGCTGGTCTCGAAATCCTGACCTCAAGTGATCCAAAGTGCTGGGATTACAGGCGTGAGCCACTGTGCCCAGCAATTCAGTGTTTTCTTGATAGATTTATTGCAATGACTAGATATCCCAGCACTGTGATATGTGACTGGATTTTATCTAACAAACACCTACTGAGTACCTACCAAGTGTCTAGCATTCAAGCCAAATAGTCGGGACAAAGAAACAAACCCAAAAATGTCTCCCCTTTCAAACTTACTGTCCAGTGGAGGAGAGAGGTAAGTAAATAAACACCAGACAATGTGATAGATATGATTTAGATAAGAGGGTCAGAGGACTGACCACCCCACGGGATAAGGTCAGAGGCAGTCTTTATACATGTCTAGATGTCCTCTTCTCTAGCAGACAGTAAGTTCCATGAAGACAGGGACATGTATTTTCACTTCTGGCACATAGTAGGTGCTCAAATAACATCTAATGACTTAGTGGACAACTATGAGAATTAATAAATGTCAGGCCCTGGGATTACAATGGTGAAAAAAACTGACATAGCTTCTGCTCTCATGAACCCTCATGGTTGACTGACATTTAACAAACAAATAATTGCTGGAAGTTGTCTTATGCATGCTGAGAAAAAGTACAGGGTGCTATGAATGAGGACAACAGGCAAATTCATTTAGCCACGGATTCAGGAATGGAATCTCTGACTCAGAGATATTTTAGCTGGGCTTGGGAAGGTGTGTAGGAGTAAGTACCAGGGAAAAGCTAAGTCTGCCAGGTTGAGGGACAGCATGGTCAAAAACGACAAGATGCGCAGCAGATTGGTAGAATTTAGGACGGAAAGAATGCCTGAAGAGTGGTGTTCTGTGATGCACCTATGCAAAGACGTGCCTACTCGGTCTTATGAACGCGCTGGTTCATTTAAACTTCAACTCTGGCGGCTGTTGGTCACTGTAATTAAACATTCACACTTTGGGGCTGGTTAGCTAGAATCGGTTATAGAATCAGAAATCTGGTTATTGAATCAGAAAAGCTATACTCCATGGGAAGCCAGTATGGTGTACTTCAGCCATCAATATCTTAGTCAGCCTGGGCAACAGAGTGAGACCTTGTCTCTACAAAAAATAAAAAAAAAATTAGCTGGGCATGCTGGCCCATGCCTAGAGTCCCAGCTACTTGGGAGACTGTGGCAGGAGCACTGCTTGAACCCGGGGGTTTAAAGCTGCTGTGAGCTATGATAGAACTACTGCACTCCTGCCTGGGCAACAGAGTGAGACCCTGTCTTCAAAAAAAATCTTAGTCAGGACCTGAGCTCTGCTATTGAGCCAAGTAAACAGCAGGGATGGGTTTTATTGGGAAATGAGTAGGTTTGTAATTAGCATGATGGATGTTAGAAACAGGCTCTTGGGGAAATTAAGGTTATGTGGATTTGCCAAAATGCTTTAGATGCCCTTCACGCTTATGAGAATAAGTTATAGAATCCAATGAAGTCTAGACTTTATCGTTAGGAATGTTCTCCTAAAGTTCCTAAATCATTCTCTAAGACTCCATTCTTTAAAAGGATTTCTGGTTGTCTGGTGCCAACAAGAGTGACAGCAGACTGCCTTTGAAATGGTTCTGTGTCAGCCCTCAATGGATCTTCCAAGCAGTGAGGTCAGAGCATCTAGAAGGATGGAGAGTTAGGTCCTCAGCAAACTTACACAATAGAGCGTCCACACTGTTCTTCTACTTGCTGTTTTGGGCTAAATTGTGTCCCTCCCCCAAATTTATATATTGAAGTCCTAACCTCCAGGAACTCAGAATGCGCCTGTATTTAGAGATTAGGCATTTAAAAGGTAATTAAGGCAAAGTGAGGTCATATCCAAATAAACAATTGGATTGATGTCCTTGTAAGAAGAGATTAGGACACAGAGACAACCCTGTGAGTACGCAGAGAGAAGGTGGCCATCCCCAAGCCAAAGAGAGAGAACTCAGAGTGAATTCAAGCCTGCTGACACCTTAAAATAAGACTTCCAGCCTCCAGAACAGTGAGAAAATAAATTTCTGTTGTTTAAGCCACCCAGTCTGTGTTACTTTGTGATGGTAGTCCCTGTAAAACAATATACTTGCTAATAAAAAGTATGTAATAAGTAACCACATATATGGCAGACCATGGCCTCAGACTTACTTTCGTTTTAGCCTAGGAGTGAGGCTGTAGGTAATAGCTAAAATTACTGACCTTAAAATTTTTTAGTGCCTTCTGTTATGTGCCAAAAAAACATGAGGACAGTACACCAAAAGCATGGTTTAGATGGGTTCACAATAAAGGTGGTAGAAAAATAATGACTTGGCCGGGCACTGTGGCTCACGCCTGCAATCCTAGCACTTTGGGAGGCCGAAGGGGGCAGATCATCTGAGGTGAGGAGTTCGAGACCAGCCTAACTAACATGGTGAAAACCTGTCTCTACTAAAAATACAAAAAATTAGCCGGGCGTGGTGGCACATTCCTGTAATCCCAGCTACTCTGGAGGCTGAGACAGGAGAATCAGTTGAACCTAGGAGGTGAAGGTTGCAGTGAGCTGAGATTGCACCATTGCACTCCAGCTCAAGCATACTTAAATTTGGCATATAGCAATGCTCAAGAAACACTGGCAAATGAATGAATGAATGAATGAATGAAGGAGTTGAGAGTTGAAGGATAAGTAGGAATTAGATGGGAGAATGAGGCCAGGACAGACTTTCTGGGGACCTGCCACACAAGAATGAAGTGTGTGGCAGGTACTGCCACACAAGAATGAAGGGCCGGGCATGGTGGCTCATGCCTGTAATCCCAGCACTTTGGGAGGCTGAGGCGGGAGGTTCGCATGAGGTCAGGAGTTCAAGACCAGTCTGGCCAACATGTTGAAACTCCGTCTCTACTAAAAATACAAAAATTAGCCGGGCATGGTGGGGGGTGCCTGTAATCCCAGCTACTCAGGAGGCTGAGGCAGGAAAATCGCTTGAACCTGGGAGGTGGAGGTTGCAGTGAGCCGAGATCACGCCATTGCACTCCAGCCTGGGTGACATGGGTGAAACTCTGTCGCAAAAAACAAACAAACAAAACAAAACAAAACAAACAACAACAAAAAAAACAAGAATGAAGTTACAGAAGCCTGATAGGATGTGGGTAGTTCCATCCACCAAAGTTGTTCACTCATTTTTTTCTATATTGCCACATATTTCGGTGCCCCAAACATGTTTATTATAAATCTGACAAGTACAACATGTTGTAATAGAAATAACTCACAAAATAGTAACAATCAGTATTTTCAGTTTAACCTTAGATCCCAACAATAGCTAGAAACACTTTTAATATTTTAACTAACATTTATCCATACATTTAGAGTCTGCAAAGAAGTCTTTCCACTTGTTATCTTATTTAACCCACGCAACAAGTATGGAGAAAGGACTAAGAAACATCCCAGTTTGTCTCCTCTAAAGTAGAATCTGAAACAAGAGGCCAAGGTGGGAGAATCGCTTGAGCTCAGGGGTTTGAGGCTGCAGTGAGCCAGGGTTGCACCACTGCAGCCTGGATGACAGAACTCACTTGGGTCTGGGTGACAAAGCAAGACCCTTGGGTGCCAGTAGTTCATTCTCTTGGGAATTGATCCCAAGAATTGGAAGTGAGGGAGTATAGAATAGAACAGGTACAGGAAAAAAAGCCACTGAAAAACCACATCAGAATTGTCCTACCGGAGAACAGGGAGGCAGGGCATTTGTCCCCTGATTTCTGTCCTGCGCTGGTTCAAGGTTGCCCCTATAGGGGGAATAGGCTGTGCTTGTGCGTGAACTGAGTAGCCTCCAAAACCTTCAGAGAAAGCCAGGAGGCAGAGAAGTCACAGATAGAAGGGCTTATGTCCAAGGATGAACACCATTTTTTTTTTCTTTTCAAGATAGGGTCTCACACTGTTACCCAGGCTGGACTGCAGTGGTGTGATCATGGCTCACTGCAGCCTTCAACTCCTGAGTTCAAGGGATCTTCCCCCCTAAGCCTCCAAACTAGGTGGGACTACAGGTGTGAACCATCATGCTGGCCATTTTTTTTTTTTTGAGATAGGGGGTGTGTCTCACTATGTTGTCCAGGCTGATCTCAAACTCTTGGCCTCAAGCTATCCTCCCAACTCTGTCCCTTAAAGTGTTGGGATTATAGGTGTGAGCCACCATGTCAGGCTCAAGATAGGACACTTTTAAACAAGTCAAGAACTGTCTGTCACAGCTGCACTGAAGTCAGTTGGACCACAGGAGTTTGGAATGACAAACATCTGCTTTAAGACCAGCTATCCTTGTCCTTACCTTCAAGAGAAGATGAATGCTCAGAAAGTACTGTGACTTTGCCAAGGTCACATGAGAAGGCACGGTTCTAATTTTGGTGGATCTCACTCCAAATGCTGTGTTATCTCAAAGTTACCACAGAGAATTCACAAGGTCAATACACTTTACTACGTTTAATAAGGTTGTCAACTCTATGGACAGTCCCCTAGAAACATCACAGACAGTGTGGCGAGATATAGATATCACTTCCAATCAGAACATATAACATGTGGATTCTGAAAACAGCTTCTACTAGCATTTGGGGGAAAATACATTTATGAGTATGAAAACATTTTTCTCTCCTTTCACTTTAATTCTCCTTTGAAAAGGCCTAGAGATTCGTGATTGCTTGACTTCGGCTCAAGACTGCAGAATGAGAAAGCTCTTTTTTGAGACCCATGAGTCTGCTGAGAGCCCGTTGCCAAAGGCATCATTTCATTTGCCCAGCTCCTTGGTGATGTCTCAGAAAAAGTCTGACTTTCCAAAGATATCCCGCCCGATTCCCAGTGTGAAGGGGTTTCTAGCTCTATAACAAACTGCTGAACCTGTTTCTAAAGCCGACTGGGTTTGCATACTAAGAATCCTTTGGGATTTTGTTAGGGCTAGCTGTCCTAAGCATGTGCAGTCGCTGCCATTGCAAATGAAAGAACTAGTTTGTTTGTGTTTTAATTATCTCTTCTTACAAGATCTACCCAGCAGTATTGCTCCACATGGCTTGAAAGAATTTAATTAAACCGAAAAAAAAAGGGTTTGCTTTTGTTGTTGTCGTTGTCGTTGTTAGTTGCTGGAATGAAATCAGACTCTGGTTGTGCCAGAGCATGGAGGTTTTTTTTCTTGTTCTTGTGAACAAATTGCTATTAATACTAAAGGCACAAACACTTAGAAGCACAATGCATTTTTTTTTGTGCTGCATAGAGGGTGTCCCTCTTCGCAATTCGCTAGCAGAATGCAACTTCCAAGAGATGAACACCCTTAGTTTCCATGGAAGGAATCAGAACTCTGTCTACTAATTGAAACAGAATTAGAGAGAGAGTTGAAGTGGGGAACTTCAGTGTATTTTTAGTTCTGCAGAAAGGCCACATAGAAATAACAGAAGAGGCCAGGTGCGGTGGCTCACGCCTGTAATCCCAGCACTTTGGGAAGCTGAGGCTGGCGGAACATGAGGTCAAGAGATCGAGACCATCCTGGCCAACATGGAGAAACCCCGTCTCTACTGAAAAACACAAAAATTAGCTGGGCGTGGTAGCATGCATCTGTAGTCTTAGCTACTTGGGAGGCTGAGGCAGGAGAATCACTTGAACCCAGGAGGTGGAGGTTGCAGTGAGCTGAGATCATGCCAGTGCACTCCAACCTGGCAACAGAGCAAGACTTCATCTAAAAAAAAAAAATAGGTGCAATAGCTTGGAATATCATCCATGGTGGAAATGCCTTTGGGATCTTCTGCTCCTGTTGTTCTAAGGGACAGGGAGCAAAGGAATAGACCAGAAGTGGTTCAGTGGCCAAGATATGTTTCTCAACCAACAGTGGCATGAGACTTCATTATAACGAATAAATATGCCATTTTCTTCAAGAAGGTAATACTGGTTTATTTTAGAAAATATAGATAAGCCATACATGAACTTTCTTCAAATGCTCCTATTATATCATCTAAGTACCTAAGGTCTGGCTGTCAGGATGTTTCTCTTTCCATGTCGTCTTCTTTTATCTCTTTTTCTTGCATGTTCTGAACCTTGGCAGAGGAAGGGAGAGTAGATGAAAATCAAAGCAGATTCTGAGGCTCATTAGCAGTTTAGATACAATGTTGGCTACAGAGGAGGGGTGAAGAGAGAGAGTCTTGATTCTTAAGACACAATTCAACATAATATGCCTTTATTTAATGCATTCTGGGGGCAGCCCACCATTAGGACCTTTGCAGGTATGTAAAAAAAAATTGTATCAGCTTGCCTTCATAGCACTTACAATCTATTTGGCTGAATTGGCAAATCACTGCATATTTAAAAAATACCAATTTGAGATATTTTTCATATTTGAGAAACAGGAGATTCTCAGTGTGACAGAAAAGTTAGATTTTCTTTCAGTTTCAAATTCTACATAGTAAAGGTTTCAGTGGTACTTAGAAGCCAGAAAAAAGGGTGATCATTGCTCTGGGCTATTTCTCTTAGTTACTCACTTATTTCTTATGAAATTGTCTTTTGTATCACCTCACTTGAGATGCCAACATATCAGCAGTCATTTCTTTACTACAATAGATTTTTTTTTGCATTGAGGAAATGTATCTGTAGGTGATTTATAATGAAGGCTTTGAGTTGATCAAGAGGTATTTGATATGCTCATTAATTAATTTATCCCTTCATTCACTGTATATTTATTGAGTATCTACAATGTTTTATGTGCCAGGTGTTTAGTGGAAAACAAAACTACAAAACCCTGCTCTTATGGAACTTGTAGTTTATGACCGAGTCTCCACGTGGGTATAGAACAACTGAGAAATTGTTTAAACGTTTTAGTGACTGTTCATATGTGGTGTTCTTTGAAGAATACTTTCAGGACCTGTTCTTAAAAACATCTTTTTCTTGTGCTTGTAGGATACCCTAAATTCCATCAGCTTTGCTCCTTGAAAAGATTATAAACATCTTTGGGACAGACAACCATGTAAAAATTAGCAGCTGCTGGGAAATCACTAAGAACCCAGCAGGTTCTTTACAACGTGATATGTGGTGCTGGACCAATCAGGTGCTCAGGATGGAGGGTGATGCCAGGTGGCAGGGATGGTGAAGAGATGGAGTCTTAGCACCAAGGCAGTGAATGGGGGGGACAGACTGAGGCCACAGTACGAGGAGGGCGGCCTGAAGGCACGGAGCGGAGGGAGAAAGGAGACAGGACTAAGGAGGAGGATAAATGAGATAATCTCAAATACGTTCCCAGCTTTGTTGTCGACTGTCCTTGATTCCCCAGTGCTTTTCGGTCAGACCTCTCAGCCATTGTTTGTCTAGATGGCAGAAAGGTTTGCTGCAGATCACTTAAAAGAAACCCTAGATGGCCAGTTGATCTAACGTTACATTCGAAAGAAGGATGTGACTGACCTATTGCTACGCACGACAAAATAACTTCTGCCTTGTTCTCAGAAGAAATGTTAAAGCATCGACCCATTTTGCCTTTTCCTAGCATGATCATATTTGAATTTTTAGCTCCGACAATTTTACTTACAATCTCAGCATGACATTCTTGCTTGGGCCTTGGGGCACAGTCTGAAGTATAAAATATAGTCTCTGGGATGGACTTTTCTACACTTAGAAAGGGCAATCCTATGTGTCTTCTAAAAAGTCTCATAAGCCGAATGTGGACCTTCAAATCACTACCCCACTTTCCAAATTTGAAGCTAGACAATTATTTTTCTAACAGATTGTGTGCACACCCCTGGAAGCAGGGGTTTATAATTGAAATGTTGACACAACCTTAAAGCATCGTAGCACGAGCAGTGTTGTTCTAATAAATCTCGTCCCTAATCCTCAGAAAGAACCTGAAGAAGAGATTCACTTTCTATATTAGGTTTCACTTACTGAAAGGCTTCTGAAGATAAAGCCCATAAACTATGAAGGGACAGATACAATGTGGGCTACGGGGTTAAAGGGCTACAGAAAGCTCCGTAATTCTCAGAAATGGGAAACAGATGTTGTTTGACATTTTGAAGCACAGTCTCCTTCTCCCTTATGCAGTTTTCTGCTATCATGGTTTTCAAAGCAAAGATGTGTTACTGTAAATGAGAATTGCTCGGCAATGAGTTTCCCGCTTAGAGAACAGAGGGGCCTGATATTAAGACTAATTTTTATTTAATATAGTGTCTCTTCACGTAACGGAATCACAAATTGCATTTGAACACCGAGCGGCGTTGGTACAGTTTATCATGAAACACGGGGAATTAAAATCACACCTTATAAAAATGAGTAAATACAAGTGGGAAGAAGCATTGCTGGGGCCTGGAACTCTGCTACATATTAATTTTTGTTGCTGGAGGGACAGCCCTGATTTGCACTGACTTCTGGTAACCTCCGTACAGATAAGCACCTGCAGCTTCACATCTGCAGGTTCACGGACAAACCAGGACTTTGTATTCAGCTTCAAGGAAGAGGTGAGAGAAGAATCTTGGTAATAGTAAGTGATTAGTGCGGGGAATAGAGTGCCCTTGGAGGCAAGATCCAAAATGAATCAGTGAGCAGATAAAGCCCCAGGTGACCAATAGGTTCCTTCAAATGGTAGCTGCGAGAGGAGAAGATACTTTTACTGTCAGAGAGACTGCATAGTGGGAGGGACCGAACCAAGGAGACCCACTTAATGAGCAGAAGGAGCAGTGACAGTGGTGGCAATTTACAAGTCGTGCAAAGAAAACCTCCTTTGTCTATTTAATGTGTATCTCTGCTACCAGTAGTGATATCTATTTCAGCTGATTGAGACATACAGCATGGACAATTGCTAGGTGGGCTCTTTCCGTGGGTTGGAGGAAAGTCAGTCAGTTCAAGGGAGGTGTCAGATCAGAGAGAGTTAATGAGATGGACTGAGCTGTGTGAAGCATTGGCAGCTTAAGGTGGATGTTTGCTCGTGGCTACATGACACCATATTTATATTAAAGTTGTGGACGTTATGTGTCTTTTAAAGTCCAGTGTGTGAAACTATGTTTACTCTACAATATCTGATATTTAGGGGACTAAAATCATAAGCAAAAAGCAACAATATAAGCACTGGTATTCATCTTTTAGATAAAGGTACCTAGCTATTTGATTACAGCAGGTAGATTTTTAATTTCAACTTTTATTTTAGATTAAAATACACGTGCAGGTTTGTTACATGGGTAAATTGCATGATGCTGAGGTTTGGGGTCCAAACAATCCTGTCACCCAGGAGGTGAGCATAGAACCCAACAGGTGGTTCCTCAGCCCCTTCACCCCCATCCAGTGACCCCCAGTGTCTGTTGTTCCCATCTTGATGTCTATGTGTCCTCAATGTTTAGTGAGTACATGCCGTGAGAACATGCCCTGTTTGGTGTTCTGTTTTCACAATAGGTTTCTCAGGATAATGGCACCTAGCTCCATTGCTGCAAAGGGCATGATTTTGTTCTTTTTTATGGGTACATAGTATTTCATGGCATGTATGTACCACACTTTCTTTATCCAGTCCACTGTTGATGGGGATTTAGGTTGATTCTGTGTCTTTGCTATTGTGAATAGTGCTGCAATGAACATATAAGGGCATATGTCTTTTTGATAGAATGGATTATTTTCCTTTGAGTATATAACCAGTAGTTGGCTTGCTAGATTGAATGGCAGTTCTATTTTAGGTTCTTTGAGAAATCTCCAAACTGTAAAGCAGGTGGATATTTTTTTTTTTAAAGAAAAAAGAATGGCTTCATTTTGGTGAATGGGGCAAGTTGCCAAATTTTCACTTGCTCTTTCCATTGGCAATGAAATAAAGCCACATCCAAATACTGAAGCCTCCTTCCTGAAGAATTCCCAATGGCCCCAGCCCCCCAACAGCTTGTCTTTCCTATATTACTTTTGCTATTACCCACCTGATGATCAGAATGTTGTCAGAATCAAGTGCGAAACAAAATCAAAAAAAAAAAAAAGAAAGTAAAAGAAATGAAAAGCACATCCCCCAAAATAGTGAGTAAAACAAGTAAAGAGCCAAATAATGTTAACAACGCAAGGTAAGTGCTTGTAATTTATCTCAGAAAAGTTGATTTGGATAAATTATCAACCAACACTCAAAATTTAGGTGTTATAAGTACACATATGCAAATACTTACAAGATTATTACTTCTAAGGCCATTTTTGCAGTTCTTATGATTGTTGAATTAGAAGTGATCAAATTCCCTTGGGGAGGCTGAAGCACTGATGGAACTTTGCTTTGCTGTGGCATCTTGTTTAAAGACCCCTTTTTTTGTTCTCTTCTATTTTATGCCATCATTTTTGGCTTTTGGGCCAATGGGACTGTCTTCTATGCAACTTCTCTGAATACTTAGTGAATTCTGGACATTAGGATTTGTCTGATAATTCTGTTTGTTCTTCCTGAACAAGGTCTTCGTGGAATATAAGGTCAGATTTGGTCAGTTTTTTCAGCCCTTTTCTTTCACTGGTTACACTTAAGCTGATTTCCAGACTCCACTGCAGGCGGAGCTGTTTTCATGGTCACCTTGAGTTCCCTTACTTAACATTTTGTTAAAATAAAATTAAGAAATCCCTGTAATGAGAAGGTATTGTTGAGAGCGGTCACACATATAACAGAAAGAATCAAATACATTTTCCCCATGCCCTCCTCTAATTCCACTACCCAAGAGCATTGAATTATTTATATTCAACTATATTTAAAATGGAAGCCAAATTTAAAACAAATATTGTGTGTAACGTATATGACAACAGCTCTCTATGGAAATAATCTTTAATGCAATATTATGTTTATTTCACTGAAGTGACAATGTGTTGCTACCAAAGCTTCCCAATGCAACAAGAATCTCATGGAGGCTCTTCATGATCTTTTTATTTCTTTTAATTGATACGTTTCCCTGCTTTTGTAAGTTTAGGTGAATCAACCATCCTGGTGTCAGAGTCTCCAGTTTTAAAATGAACTAGGAAAAATCACCGGTGTCCTTTTACCCTCTGCTCTTCTGAGCTATACGGTAACCATATTAGAGGCAGTAACCATTAATTCTATGTTTTGTCTCAGTGCCTTGGATGCAAGTGAACATCAATAAATATTTGTATACGATGCTAATGATGTTTGTAGTGAAAAGGATCTTTAGTAAATATAGAAAATGTAATACATGTAAGGCTCCCATTTAGGCCAAACACATCATGGAAACCTATGGCTTAGAAAGGCAAGTCAACACCTATTGGACACTTGGGTGCACTGCTTATATTTCTCAAGGCAATCATCGTACACCTTCGCGCCCACTGTCAGGAACTTGATGTTAATGTGCAATGGCTACACTTGCATTAGGGCCCCAGGCAGAGCCAACAGACATAAGAATAACATTCCAATTTTTGCAGAAGGAAAACAAAAGCCTTTGTCTTTATGGCATGAAACCCTATGTATCATGAGAATTTTGCAAGATGATAATCTGAAAACTCCTAAAAGAGTGGGTTATGCCATGGTCTGTCTTCATGTGACTATTATTGTCATCAGATTTCTGTTAATTGCCAGAGTTTTGGTTCAAGCTAGTAATGCTGCCTTGGGCATTCCTGTGGCCTAATGAGAATAATGTAACATGGAAGAACTTATTACCCAAAGGGCAAATGCCACCTATGCAGGGGCCACTCTTGGGCAAGCTTGGAGTGGACAGACAAGGAACTGAGATGAGGTCTGCAGCTGGAAGTGAATCTAGGGGCTCACATCTTGCAATGTGGACCAAGAAAATATAAAACCACAAAAAGCATAGGTTGGTAGTATTGTTACTTCTTTAATAAGGTTGTGGACTATTGTCCATTCTTTTATGTACAGGTATCAATGATTTAGTGCCCTCCAAAGATATGATTAATACATTTGTATACACTTACCTGAGAATTTGGTAGTTGTGGTTGAAAGAAACTTGTTGGTCAGAGATCCAAGAAAAAGTATGATTATGTTAGTAAAATATTGTGAGTGATGTTCTAAGTAATTCATGGATTACCTCTGTCAGGTAAGGCTTATGATGTCCATCCAGAAAAGTAAAATCTTAAGACAGAGAAAGTTCAAGTCATTCAGTCAGGGTTATTCAGAAGTTTAGTGGATCAGGTAGGTGTCTAAGTATCCAAGTGTGGAGTACCAGGTCATAATAATTTTTCTTGGCTGGGTGCAGTGGCTCACACCTGTAATCCCAGCACTTTGGGAGGCTGAGGCAGGAGGATTGCTTGAGCCCAGAAGTTTGAGACCAGCCTGAGCAACATAGCAAGACCCCATCTCTACAAATAACAAAAAAATTAGCCAGGCATGATGGTACGCTCCTGCGGTCCCAGCTACTTGGCAGACTGAGGTTGGAGAATTGCTTTAGACCAGGATGTTGAGGCTGCAGCGAACTATCATTGTCAATGGCACTCTACTCCAGCCTGGGGGACAGAGTGAGATCTCATCTCAAAAAAAGAAAAAATTCTGCTGTAGTATACAGGTTTTTATTCAGGGATATTATTTCTGATTGTAAGTATTCCATATATCTTTTCTTCTTTTATATCATTTCCATGTACCCATTCTGTCTTGATAAATGCATCATCTTTAATATTTTAATTATTTGATATTAATTGAGGACTTCCAGATTCATTACATCAGTTAGAATTGTACACATATATACTTAAATTGTATATATTTAAGGTGTATAACATGATGTTTTTGATATGCATGTAGATAGTGAAGTGATTACTACAGCTAAGCAAATGACCTTATCCACCCACCTTCCACAGTTACCCTTTTCGTGTGGGGTAAGAGCACCTAAAATTCACTCTGAGAGCGAATTTGTGGTATGCAGTACATTATTATTAACTCTAGTCCTCAAGCTGAACTCTAGGCTGACTCATCCTCCATAACTGCAGGTGTGTATCCTTGGACTACTTCTCCTCACTTCCTTCTCCTCCCCACGCCTGGTAACCACTGTTCTACCCTGTTTCTATGAGTTTGACTATTAGATTCCACATAGAAGTGAGATCATGCAATATTTGTCTTTCTGTGCCTGGCTTATTTCACTTAGCATGATGTCCTCCAGGTTCATCCATGTTGTTGCAAGTGGTCAGTTAGGATTATATTCTGCAACAAACACCCTGAAGTAACAGTGGCTTAAGCAAGATACATGTTTCTGTCTCACAAAATAGAAGTCTGGAGGTAGGTAGTTTACAGCTGGTAGGAGGTTCTATAGATTTCCGAGACTCAGGCTACTTCTATTTCCCCACCCCTCCCCACTGAATTGTCCTCAACAGACAGCTTCCATATCCTAAAGTGGCTCTGGGACCAGGAGCCAAATGTCCATGTTGTAGGTTGGGAAGAAAGATGGGTGGGCCATGGGATGCACCTGTAGCCAGCTCCTTGAAGGAGCTTTCTGGAAACCCACAAAGTATCTCATTGCAGCTCATTGGCCAGATGTTGGAGGTGAGGCCATACTTTGCTGCAAGGGAGGCAGGAAAATGTAGTATCAGCTGTAGTGTTAGGTGCCATGTCAACACAAATAATATCAAGATTCTGTTACTAAGGGAATAACCAAACAGGATGATGAGCAGCAGTATCTACTGCATATACCTACTTACTTAGTGGCTTCCCTGCCTGGTCATTTATCCCTGGTCCTTTCTGATTACTTGGATGCCTTTTCTACTTGGGTGTTAAAGAAAAAGCAAAGATTTGGGAGGAAAGAGGACAAAGGAGTTGGTGGCCTTAAAACTCAAAAGGGTAAGTACATGGATGAAGCCTCTTGAGCTGTGACTGGTGCTAAAAAATAAATAACATTTACTAAACACTTACTATGTGCCGAGATTTGTGTTAAAGTATCTTATATATAATATCTCATTTAATACTCAAAATAAATGTATGAAGGAGTTATTATTCTTGCCATTTTACACAAGGGGAAACTGTTCTGCAGAGGCTTAGTAACTTGTCTAATGTCACACAGCCAGCAATGGGAGAGACAGGATTTATTTTTTAGGCTCACTGATTCTAAAGGCTGAGTTCAAGCTCTGCATTCCTCAGCCTCCCAGGATGGGAAGGATAAGAGGACAGCAAGGTCATAATGGGAAAGGTCTATTTTGAAGTGCCTATTGATACTTCCTCTCTCTAAAGTTTCTACTGAAGAAGAATCAGGCAGCCATGTTTGTGGCATGGATTCTGCCTCTTCAGGCAGACTTGGCTGGTTCTGGGATGGAGACCACCCATCAAGGGCATCATAGCTGATTTTTTTCCCTTGGAATCTCAGATTGAATTACAGAGGAATTGAATTGTGGGAACAGAATGCAAAAATTCAGTAAAGTGAGTAGGAGGTTCCCACCAGAAGACAGAAACAGGAGAAAGGGGTGGAGTCCCTAGAGCAAGGTTATTCCATGGCTGGTTGGCCCTAAAGAAAAGCCAGAGCTCTTTCTGTTAAGTTCTCCAGCCATTGCCTGGAATTCAGACCTACTGTCCAGTTCTGCTTCTTTGAGTCATGACTGGGAACCCAACTTCCATGGCCTGAAGAGTCTCTGTTAGGCTTACAATCAACTCTTCTCATTCAGGTTCATTCAAATGTTTTTCTGTTTTTTATATTCATGAGGGCTACAGTATAATAGATTCCTGGACTTAGAAAATATTCATTTTAGAGTGTGATGATTAGCACCACAGATTATGCAGCCAAACTGCCTGGGTCTAAATCTAGATTCCACACTTATTATCTGTGTGACCTTGGGCAAATCACTTTATCTCTCTGTGCCTCAATTTCATTATAGAATGCTTCATGACACATTGTTAATATTTGTATTAGTTCATTTTCACACTGCTATAAAGAACTACCTGAGACTGGTAATTTACAAAGAAAAGAGGTTTAATAGACTCACACTTCCCCATGGCTGGGGAGGCCTCAGGAAATTTACAATCATGGCAGAAAGTAAAGGGGAAGCAGGCACCTTTTTCACAGGGTGTCAGGAGAGAGAGAGAGAGTGCAGGGGGAATTGCCACTTTTAAATCCATCAGATCTCGTGAGAACTCCCTCACTGTCATTAGAACGGCGTGGGGGAAACCGCCTCCATGATCCAATCACCTCCCACCCGGTCCCTCCTTTGACACATGGAGATTACAATTCGTGATGAGATTTGGGTGAGGACACAGAGCCAAACCATATCAATATTATATACATGTTTAATATTATCATTGCTCTTTCTGCATTGTTTACTATCAGAAAAACAACCTCTGCTTCTGATTTTCACAGAATACAACCCTGTGTGGTAGGTCATAGTGTCCCATTTCCCAAATAAGGAATTGAGGCCCAGAGAAATTGGGTAAGTTTTCCATGATCATTGATAAGTACTCAAGTCAGGATTTGCCCTTAGGTCTGATTCTAAAATCTGTTCTTTTTCCCTGGACCAGAATCACCGTGCACTTGCTCTGTGTAAAGCAGCCTGGGAAAAATTGTCCCAGGGTCTCTTTAGTCCCAAATGAGATGTGCCATATATTTCTCAAATGCCCTGCATTTGCATAGGTGTTTTTTTTCCTTTTGCATTATGAAATTACTTTAACAAGAGTTAGTTCATTTTCTGTTGTATATGCCAGAGTTCATTGGCATAATAAAAAGCTTGTAAGTCTTTTGAGTAGATGAGAAAAATTCACTCAAGGCTTAGTTAATATATATGAGTGTTATTTTTTTTCTCCCATCACTCTGACCTGTAAATGGCTCATTTATCAGTGTGTTGAGCAGGTAACTTTCAGCCGATGGGCCATGAATGAAATCTGTGTCTGGTGGCGGCCATGTACAGGGAGAGAGAAAAAGTGAATGATAGAAAAAAGAGGCAATCAATGTTTAAACAATGGTCTGCCTTCAGCAAAAGAAATCCCCCATGTGCTCCAGACTTCTTTGTGTGGGAGAAGCTAGAGGGAGACCACAACCATAAGCTGTCTCATCTCTTTTAAATCTATATTGGCAAATTAGCTACTCAATGGCTTTCAAATGCGCTAAGACAGCTTGTCGTTGTAATGACTGACAGACTGGGGAAATCTGGACCTCTGTGGAATAAGGGTCTTAGAGAAGAGAAAGAAAATGTTCTGATTAGATGTCATTGAAGCCTTTATTTGTACTATTCACAACACTAAATTATGAGGATACCATCCTGACCTAATCTATTAAAAGGACTTAAACATGCCCTGGAATGACAATACAGGGTCTTACACAGTCAGGCCTAAAGTGGGGCTGGTTTTCATCCATGTCGGCTTAGGAGTGGGAGAGGTGCAGTTTGGAGTCAGGACTGAGCAGACAGTGGTACTGTCTCCAAAGCTCTAAGAGAATTTCTAAAGGGTCTCAGCCCCAGATAGCTCTCATTATTTTCTTTATTGCAAGTTTTCATTTCATGTTTCTGTTAATAAACTTAAAACATCTTTTTTTTTGGTCAGATGTTTGGGGAAAGTGGACATCAAGGCTTAGTTTTGTCTCTTTATAACAGGAAATGACATTCAGAAAGTATTCCACACATTATTACGAATATTTCCACCTGATAGACAAATATTTTAAGACCAGTGAGAGAATCCTATTTAACTTCCTCTCCTGGGATATGAAAGGTTATTATAGAACACAACACTAGTGATGTTTTTATTTCAGTTTGGGCATATTTTGTTTCATCATCTAGGCAGTAACCATGGTTGACTACATAATATTTTTGTACTTAGCTATGCAACTCTTTCTTCATACGTCCTTGCTTAATAGAATCTACATTACTATCCAACTGAAATGCTGCTACTTTAGTAAGGATAGTAGCACATTTTAAAAATATGCTGGTTTAGAAAGTATTACATCTGTGTTTTCATTTGCACTAACTTCTAAATACAAACATTTTAGTGTTTCTTCTATAATATGTTGCATTTCCACCCTCATAGTGTATCAGGTAACAATATATGGCATAGTGATAATTTTTTTTTTTTAGTATTTAGATTTTACAAAGCATTTTTACATGCTTTTCCAATAATCTTTCACATAAATTATTAGTCCCAATTTACAGGTGCGGAACCTGAGGTTGATGGGGTAAGTCATTTATTTAACCTAATAGAGCTGGCAGGGAGGTAGCTTGCAAACCCAAGTTGTAAGTCTAGAGTCAAGACCTTTCATCATTGTGTGAGAACTGCAGAACAGGAGAGGTAGTTGTTTTGGCGGATAGCCAGATACCACGGGACAGAGGCCACTGGAACACAGGGCATTTCTCTGCCTTCCAGTATGGGAGTCTCTAAACAGGAAGCTGTTCACTCAATTCTAAACCACATTTGGAGAACAAAGAATTTTATTCATAGATGAGCTTTAATTGCCAATTGCATTGTTTCTTTTCACATCCTTTTATCTCTCTAATTAAAACTGGGATGGATAAGATCTTAACTTTCTTGTTTCAAGTTAAAAATTCAGATTTTTATGGGTAAGTCTTCAGTGTTTCACAAGGCTCCCTGGTTTCTCAATGAAAGTTGCATAGCACCTCTTTTGTTCTCATCAAGTGGCATGCTTATAGGGCTAGATAAACCATAAAATTATAGGGTAGAGCTGTAATTACCTCTGCTTTCTAAACCACAGTGTAGGATCCTTATAGCACTTCCTTTAGAATGTGATTGAGTTAATTGTTATTACTATGTTATCATGTAGCATTAACTAACATACCCAAAGCAGCTACCTAGTTATTCAAGAGTCATTGCATCACCCAGAGCCCGGTGACTTAACTTGTGATCAGCGTTCATGAAATGTGCAAAATCAAGTTCTTGCTGCTTGTGTTTAGCTGGGGATTATAGCTCTTATAAAAGCCTTAGGGCTAGTTTAAGTGGCCTGAGCCTGAGGTTTTGAAATACCTGGAACTTCACCCAGGCTCAAAGCCCTAGCATGGTTGACTCAACAAGTGTAATATCACTCACTGCACTGTTTGTGTGTATTTAGGAAGACAGCTTAAAATTTAAGGGTCCTGTGTGCACTTCAACAGACTTGGGGCATTTTGGGAAGGAGTAGGAGTGCTTTTATGTTCAATCAACCGGCAAACCTGTTATACTGGTAATGTTATGTGGTAGAGAAATGGGAGAACTGGTTTGGAAAAAGTGAGAACTCTTGCTCTTCCCACTTACTCTCTGACCTATCACCCAGTTTTTAGAAATGTTTGGAGCCAAACTTTGGAACATTTTCTTGCTCTTTGCGAAGCACAGTTGAGATCTGGAATAACAAACAGGTATCCTTCCAATTATACGTTGTACCTGGATCTATGAGTCGATGTACCTTGGTATCAGTCTATCTGTGTATCTTTATATCTGTGTATATGTCTATTTGTGAATGTGTGTATCTCCTTTTGTATCTTTATGGGACATGTTGGCATGAATAAGCCCAGATTACTAACTCCAGTCTGGAACTCATGGATAACAAGAGGAAACTCGAAAAGGGCCTTAATAGTTTGGAGCCTGAGGCTCTCTAGCTTTCCAGAAATTCTACAACTTTTCTTCCACCTCCCCGAACTCATTGCTTCCATGACGTCTCTTGCACCTGTGTGCTCCTAGTGCTGCCATGTTAACTTGGTTCTTCATTAATGAGCGGTTTCGTAACCAGGCTCCCTTCTCCTCCTTTCTAACCCATCCTAAACCACAGGTCCTATCTGCTGGTCAGACATGGTCAAGGGATTCCTACAGCTTAGACTGCTGTTTGAAGCTCTTTGTGGACTTCCTCCTATTCCCCTTCCCAGCCTTCTTTCTCATTATGGCCCAGCCAGGACCCTTTATTCAAGCCCCACTGGAGTGGTTGCTGCTTTTGAGATATGCGTGGCACCTTCCTTGTTCTGTATCATTTCTTATGCCAGTCCTTTTAACTAAAATACTCTTTCTCCCATTTCAGCATGTGAACACGTCTTGAATGTCCTTCCTTCCTTCCTCTTTCTTTCTTTCCTTCCTTCCTTCTTCTTATTCTTTTTTTCTTCCTTTCTCTTTCTTTCTCTTTCTTTCTTTCTTTTCTTTCTTTCTTTCTTTCTTTCTTTCTTTCTTTCTTTCTTTCTTTCTTTCTTTCTTTCTTTCTTCTTTCCTTCCTTCCTTCCTTCCTTCCTTCCTTCCTTCCTTCCTTCCTTCCTTCCTTCCTTCCTTCCTTCCTCTTTCTTTCTCTCTTCCTTTCTTCCTTTTTTTTCTTTTTTTGACACAGGGTCTTGCTTTGTCACCCAGGCTGGATTGCAGTGGCAAGATCATGGCTCATTGCAGCCTCGACCTCCCTGGCTCAAGTGATCGTCCCAGCTCAGCCTCCTGAGTGGCTGAGACTACAGGTGCATACCACCACACTCAGCTAATTTAATTTAATTTAATTTAATTTAATTTAATTTAATTTTGTAGAGATGGAGTTTTACTATGTAGCCCAGGCTGGTCTTGAACTCCTAGGCTCAAGCAATCCTCTCACCTTGGCCTCCCAAAGTGCTAGGATTACAGGTGTGAGCCACCAAACCTGGCTGAATGTCATTTCTGATATGCAAAAAATCTCCTCTGATATCCTCCAAAAGAACTTACCTGAAATAGGCCCTATATCATCTAATTGATTTTAATCCTTTTGCAATCCGGGACTCTCTCGATTTTACAACCCCAAGTATGTTTCCAGTTTTGATTTTCCTCTCCACCTATGTGGCTACCATAGTGATATGTTTAAAATGCTAATGTAATAAATGCTTATTACTCCTCTGCTTAAAATTCTATCATGAGAGGAGGAAGTTTGAGTAGATACGTAAGGGAAACTATTACTTTATACTTAATATTTCCCATAAATGCACAAATTATGTTTATAATAAAAATAAACCCTTTCATTGTTCCCCATTACTAATGGATTGGAAAAACAGTTACTTCGCATGACTTGGAAATCTCTTCATGATTGAATGGGTGATCCTGTTGGAAATTCAGACTTCTTTGTACACCAGTTTTCAAGATGGACTAGGATTCTTAACATTTGCTGAATATTCTATGGTGCTCCTGAGCTCTGGAAGTGCTGGCCTTCTTTCCCCCAGGGTCCTCTTCCATGGGAAGGGGTTCCCCTCAAACTCCACATTCAGGTTATGCCACCTTTTTTCTGTAGTTTTACCTCCCCTCCCTAGGCATAGTTGGGTCTTTTAACATACCCATGTTAGGATACTTACCACATGGCCCTGTTTTTGTTTATTGTTATTTACTTGTAGCTGCCTACATTCAAAAGAGATTTAAGGCAAAGAAATCTGGTACTTTGAATTTTGTATCCTGGTGTATTACGGTTCTCCAGAGAAGCAGAACCATTAGAATATATTACGAGATATCAACTCACATGATTATGGAGGCTGAGAAGTCCCAAGATCTGCCATCTGCAAGTTGGAGACCCAGGAAATTTGGTGATGTAGTTTGAAGGCCTGAGAGCTGGAGACTATAGTATAGATTCCAGTCTGGGTCTGAAGGCCTAAGAAACATGAGGGCAGGAGA
Organism: Homo sapiens; assembly: GCF_000001405.40. NCBI lineage: Eukaryota > Metazoa > Chordata > Mammalia > Primates > Hominidae > Homo > Homo sapiens. Next base: position 8,546,819 of record NC_000010.11, read on the forward strand.
TTGATCCCACAGCTCAAGCAGTCGAGAGAGAGAGAGAGAGAGAGAGAGAGAGAGAGAGAGAGAGAGAGAGAGAGAGAGAATATCTTCCCTTTCTCTATTATTGTTTTTGTCTTAGTCAAGAGCTAAATCCCTTGGATGATGCCTACCCACATTGGTGAGGGTGATCTGCTGTACTGAGTCCACCAATTCAAATTGTAATCTCTTCTGGAAACACCTTGGTACACACATCCAGAAATAATGTTTAGCCAGCTATCTGGGCATCCTGTAGCCCAGGAAAGCTGATACATAAAACTGAGTATCACACCTGGGCACCTAGATCATGCCAAATTTGAGAGGTATTAATTATTATTATTATTTTTATAAGGATTTGTGAACTTGTAAAAAACAAAATCATGGAAGAATTGGAAGAGTGAGTAGAGATTATCACACAAATTTTTTGTTATGTACCTGAGGAGTCTAAAGTCATTTGTAGTCTCCTTCGCATCTGGCACAATGTCTTGTGTTTGGAGGATTTTAGTATATTTTTGTTGAATGAATGTGTTAACAATTAGTCACTCTCTTACTTATGGATTTGTCTATTTCTCCTTGAAATTCTATCCGTTTTTGCTTGTTTTCAGCTGCATAAATATTTAGGATTTTTATGACCTCTTAGTAATTGATCCCTTTATCGTTATGAAATTACCTTCTTTATCCCCAGTAACATTCTTTTCTCTGAAATCCACTTTGTCTGATATTAATATAGCCAGATTTCATTTTATTACTGTTGGAATAAAATATCTTTTTCAACCCTTTTACTTCTTATCTATATTTAAAGTAAGCAGCACACAGTTGGGTCTTGTTTTTTATTTAACCTTATATAATATCTGCCTTTAGATTGGACATTTACACTACTTGCATTTAATGTTATTATTGATATGATTAGGTTGAAATACATTACCTTGCAATTTATTTTCTATGTGTCCCATCTCTTCTCTCTCTCTCTCTTTCACCTGTTCTGCCTTCTTTTGGGTTAATTACATATTTTTTATGATTCTATTTTATCTCCCTTGTGGACGTATGATTGTATCTCTTTATTTGTGCTTGTTCAGTAGTTGCTTTAGGATTTATTGTATGCATCTTTAACTTACTGAAGTCTATCTTTAAGTAATCATGTACCACTCCACATACATAAGTATAAGAATGCTACAATAGTAGACTTCTGTTTCTCCCTCCTCCATCTTTATGCTATAATTGTATAGTATTTTATGTTTATTATGCTACGTTTATATTATTTTTGCTTAATTAGATGATTATCTTTGATAGAAATTTAAATAATAAGAAAAAATCTTATATACCTGCCCTAGTGTTAATCTTTCCAGTACTCTAGATTCTCTTGTATATATTTATATTTCCATCTGGTTTTATTTTCCTTCTGTCTGAAAGACATACTTCAACATTTCATGTAATGTGGATCTGCTGCAGATGAATTCATTTTACCTTTGCTTTTGAGAGGAATTTTTTTTTTGTTTGGTGAATAATTCTACTTTGTCAATTTTGGTTTTCTTTCAATATTTCAAAGTGTGTCTTCTTATCTGGATTGTTTCTGAGAAGAAATCTGCTGCCACCTGTATCTTTGTTTTTTTTTGTTTTGTTTTGTTTTGTTTTTTTGTATGTAATGTGTCTTTCTTCCTCTGGCTGTTTTAAAGGTTTTCTCTTTAGCACTGGTTTTGAATAATTTGATACGTGTGCCTTGGTGTGGTTTTCTACATGTTCCTAATATCTGGGATTTGTTAACCTTCTTCAATCTACGAGTTTATAGTTTTCATTAAATGTGCAAAAATTTCAGCCATTATTTCTTCAATTAATTTTCTTCCCCTTCTTCTCTTTTGGAGACTCCAATTACAAATAGGATATATATATATTTGATTGCTTGAAATTTTCTCATAGCTCAGTGATACATCTTTTTTTAAAAATTGTTTTTTCTCTTTATGTTTTGTTTTGGACCGTTTCCAATGTTACGTTGTAGAGTTTATTACTTTTTTCTTCCATAATATCTAATCTGCCATTAATCCCATCTAGTGAGATTTCCTTTTCACACACATTGATTTTTCATTTCTAGTAGTTGGCCTTGAGTCTTTTCTATACCGTTCATCTTTCTATTTAACTTTTGGAATGAATGAAATTGATTTGTAACAATGGTTTTAATGTCCTTGTCGGCTACAAGTTTTAATATCTGTGTCTGTTATGGGTCTGATTGATGGCTTTTTCCTGTGTTCTTTGCATGCCTGATACTTTTTGATTGAATGCTAGACATTGTGAATCTCACCTTATTAGGTGTTGGATATTTTTCTTTTCTAGGGGTATTCTTAAGCTTTGTTCTGGGATGTAGACAAGTTACTTAGAAACAGTTCGATCCTTTTTGGGTCTTGCTTTTCAGATTTGGTAGGTGAACTGGAGCAGTGCTTACTCTAGGACTAAATCTTCTCCACTACTGAGGAGAGATCGATTTGTGTACTCTACTGAGGACCCTGTGAATATCAAGGCTTTCCAATCTGGCTCTTGGAAATAGACACTATTCCCAGCCTTGGGTGAGTGCCAGGCACTGTGACCTCCTGATCCTTTCAGGTGGTGCTTTTCCTGGACTTCACATGCATAAGCTGATCAGAACTAAGTTGAATGTCAGAGGGGAATACTGTAGATCCTGGCATTCGCTCTGTGTGTAGCTGTCTCCTATTTGATGCTTTATCCTTCAAATACTAGCTGCCTTGACTCCCCTTAATTCCATCTTCACAACTCATGGAATATGCCAAATTTGATCTGAGTTACCCTTCCCTCCACTGTGGCCTGCAAACTCTCTCGAGGAAGTAAGCTTGGACAATTTTAAGGCTCGTTTTATTTGTTCCCCATATTTTAATAATAATTGCCCTTTATTTTCCTATATCCAAGGGCTCACAGACCATTATTTCATATATTTTGTCAAGTTTTTTATTGTTTTAGGTGAGAAGGAAATTTGAATGCCTTTATTCCATCTTGACTAGGTTATCTTTGTTTGAAATTATATTTCCCACATTCTTCTAGAATATATGATTCTTAGGCTAGAATTAAGTCTAATTACCCAATCATCTTATATTGTTTTAACAATCTTCTTTACTTTTTTTTGTTTATTTTTTCTCAATAGCATGATTGCAACTTGCTAAAGCAAAGTGATTTTTCTGAATAATAAGCTGATAGCTCTGTAAGCTTTTTCTCTACCTCATTCTACAAATCATTATCTTTAACCACTGGAGAATTTTAATACTGATCTGTAAAAATGTCCTTGGCAAAACATGTCCTGCCATCTTTGCCTCTATTTCAGTTCATTGTATCATATGATGTTTTATTACAAGTGGAATATGTGTGCAAATTGTGATCAAGAAGGTTAAGAACAATATTTACAAATTTATCGAGTAATTAGAAATAATATATCTAATATTTTGTACTTTGAATAATGTTACTACTATCCTCATGATAGTGGTGAATTTATATTTGATTCTTTCCCATTCTTCTCCATCATCTTGATATCTGATGTCAAATTATATCAACTGTGTCTTTACAAAATTATTCTCATCTGTTACTCCTCTGCACTTCTGCTTCCTAGTTTAGGCTCTAATAAAATATCACTTGAATTGCCCTAACAGTCTCTCCTCTCAACAACCTGTATACACTAAACAAGTCTTCAAATATGAATTGAATGTGTTCTTGTTCCAAGAAGTGTTGAGAGCTGGCTCGGGATGAACCAATCATACTAAACCAAAACTTTAATGTTTGCCCCTCCTGTTAAAAATCCCTTCACGAATTCCATCCTCTAAGAAAACGAAATTCAAATGTCTTTGTGTGACAGTCATAAGATCTTATACGACGTACCTTTTTGGTTAAATCAAACAGCTTTTTGTTCTCTCTGTACATCAAATATTCTCTTTGCTTTCTTAAACTTTAATAGAATGTGCATTCTTTTTTTTTTTTTTTCTTCACTTCCAAGGTCTAACTCAAAAGCCTCATTCCCACGCAGCCTCATTTGATCTTCTCCAGATTGGAAGTTTTATTCTCTTACGGCTACTCCCACTTTTTACTTTATCTTTTTTTATTTATGTATATATCTTATCTCCTTTATTGACTATACAACAGTTTGAGGGCAAGGTAGGCATAGGGCTTATTCCTCTATTTTCTACTCTGCTTTGCACTGAATAATTAGTGTTCAACAAAAGCCTGGAGAATGGTAAGTAAAGGGGCACAAAGAGTCGCTTAAACCAATTTTATCTAAATAATTCTAAATGGACAAAAAATTTCAGGAATGTTAGCTCTGGTGCCTACTGGTGACCATGGGAGGAAATATAGCTCATGGCACATTGGGTTGAGCAGGAAAGAGTATCTTTTTGAGATTCTTTTTTTTTTTTTTTTTTTGATGGTTTTGTTTTAGGTCAAAGAAGATTAGTATATTAACAATTCAACACTAAAGCTTAATTGGCAAAACACCAAGGTGCTTGGTATAGTGGTACTATAATCCAGTTTAGTGATCTTCTTAACTTTATTTTCTAAAACTATCATTTTGGAAGTTGAGCTAAGACCAAGATAGTTTGATAACAAATGGAGACACTTGCTTGGCACATTTACATGTAGAATAGATTTCTTTTCTTTTAAATAAGTGTTATTGGTTCCATGAGGTCACGGAAGTGAGAAATATTGAAAATATTTTAGAAAACTTAAAATTTCACTTAATTGATAAACTCTCAGCTCTTCCATTTTCTGTGTCCTTGAGTAAGTAACTTAACCTAAGTCTTAGTTTTCTCATCTATAAAATAGGGATAATAACACTCTATAGTGTTGTAGGAGTAAATTAGTTATTTTTAGTAAACTTCTTCGCATAGTAGTTTTTGTTATGATAATCAGCATTATGTAAGTTTTAACTATTATATATACCATGACTTACAAGAGTAGTTACATTTGCCTTTTAATTTCTTTGTTTGGTTGTACGCTACATGCATGAGACACCTTATCTCTACTATTTAATATGCTGTTTAGATGTAGAAATTGCTCAAGTGATTTTTGTTTATTAAATGAGTACGTCAAGGCCTTCTGTGGTGCTTAGTAACTATTAAAACCTTGTCATGGGAAGGGTTTAGATTGGAAAGCATTCCATGATGGCAAGTGATATTAAACACTGAAATGAGAGGAAAAGACAGGGGGTGAATCTTTTCATTGAAGTCTTTGGGATTAAGATAGTAGTTCACTTGTCTGAGTCATCACAGAATCCTGCTAGAACAGTAGAGAAGACTGAAGGGCAGATGAAGTCATTTCTATTTCATGATTTAAAACTGCAAATAACAGTTGTCCAATAGTATAGACAATGCCTCTTAGCATATTATTTATATTCAAGCTGTCTACTTCAGAGAATATTAATTAAATAACCTTAGGGGCATGACATTTGCTAAATTCCTCCAACACAATATTTTAAATTGTAAGCTACTACTTAACTTCAACACCTGAAATATAAAACAAGAACTGACAAAAATATGTGGAAAGCTATATATGTAAATGGGTCCCTAAAGTGCTGAGAAGCTCCCTGTCTAAGTCAGTTAGTGCTGCTATACCAGATTACCCTAAACTTGGAGGGCTAAACAACAAATGTTTATTTCTCACGGTTGTGGAGCCTGGAAATCCATAATCAAAGTGCTGGCAGATCCTGCATCTAGCAAGGGCTCTCTTCCTGGTTTGCAGATGGCTGCCTTCTTGCTGTATCCTCATATGGTGGACAGCAGAGAGAAGGGCCAAGCTCTCTGGTATCTCATCTTATAAGGACACTAATCCCGTCATGAGGTCTCCACTCTCATGACCTAATTACCTTCCAAAAGGTCCCACCTCCTAATACCCTCCCATTATGGAGGCTAGGGGTTCAACATATGAATTTTGGGGAGGGGGTCACAAACATTCAGTCCATAACACCACCTTATTTCCAAATATACTCTTCTTCTGCTTGTCATGGTGCCTAAAACTCCAGTGTTATAAATCCATTATTTTCGAACAACATACTTGACTGGAATTATCTACCCACTTTGACTTGCTGTTATCACAAACAGGGCAACATTAAGTCTTAGAACTATTCAGTCCTTAGACAACTTGTCTTAGTCTGTTCTCACACTGCTATAAAGAAATACCTGGGACTGGGTAATTTACAAAGAAAAAAGGTTTAATTGGCTCATGGTTCTGCAGGCTGTACAAGAAGCATGGTAGCATCTGCCCAGCTTCAGTCATGGCAAAAGGTGAAGGGGAAGTTGGCACTTCACATGCCAGAGCAGGAGGAAGAGAGGAATGAGGAGAGGTGCTCCACACCTTTTTTTGTGTGTGCCCATTGTTTGCTAATGCTACACCTTTTAAACAACCAGATTTCGTGAGAACTCCATCACTAGACAGCACTAGAGGGATGGTGCTAGACCATTAGAAACTGCCCCCATGACCCAGTGACTTCCCACCAGGTCCCTCCTCCAACACTAGGGATTACAATTAGAGATGAGATGTGGGTGGGGACACTGAGCCAAACCATTTCATATTTTTTCTTGACAGTGAGAGAGGGGAAGAGAGCATGGATATAAAGTGCTAATTTTAAATTAAATGAGGAGGAGTTGAATACTTTTTGGGTAGAGCACACAGGACCTTTTATGAAGGAAGGCCACAGTGATTCCTCCAAGAGTGGCTTGGGTGTCCAAGGTGCAGGATTGGAGGCAGGTAAAAAGTAGGACAAAGAAGGTACTGAAGTGGGACATCTCTGACTTGTCACTATTTTTTAAAGCCAGGTCTCATTTAAATTGAAGGTATTGGATTAGATACAGTGCTTCTCAGCCCACGTTGTAGTCTGACCTTACACATCCACCCTGGTGAGAAGGAATGGAGAAGAAGAATTCGGGTGGAATGAAGACCTGGATCACAACTACTGTCACAGTAGTAGAAGCACTTGTGAGTCCTCCTTATTGTTGCAGACTTTTGTCTTTCTTGTCTGTGGTTGGGGGTTGAGATTCTGAGCTATGTCCTATCCAAGGTCCCTCCCGCTAGAACTTGCTGGGATTCTATGAATTGTTTTCTGCATAATATTCTTCCATGTAGACGCTAAAGTTCATCAATTTAAAATTTATGACTACAACTCTTTTCAGCAACTTCACACCACCATACAGGTGCATGTGTATGTGATGTGATAAATTGAGTCAATTATAAGCACAGTTCTGGGAAAACAAAGACAAGCAAAATTTAGTGCATCTTCCTCACTTATCTCTTTATTTCTAGTTCTGGAAGCTTTAGGGTCTGAATTATCTACACGAATTGTCCCAGCATCCCCCCTTCAATTTCTATATGGAGATAACTCAAATTACGGCCAATATTACCGCTGCCCCCAATCTCTTTTTGGCTTTGAGATAATAAACATCTCCTAACAACTTAAAAAAATTGAGATGCCCTTTTCACTTTGACCATACAGATGGAAAAATTGTAAATAACAGATCCTTGACACTCTTCAGAAATAAAATGTGATGAAGAGTTCAGTTGTCTGATTAAATTCTCCCCATAAAATCTCACCTAGCCTATTCTTACCCCAGGGATAAGGACTGTGCACACAATGGACATTATTTTTCTTTTGAACATACTCGTATCTTGTCAAGATGTCATCAATACAAATACTTTGACGTTTTTAGTGCGATGATTGGGAAGCAGGTTGAATTTTTCAATCCTCCCAGCCAATATAAGTCAGTCTGAGATACTTAATTTCTATTTGAGATCCTTCGTTTCTATTATAAACAGATCCCACAGTGGAAGATAAATTTCATGGTAACAGTTTGGACTTTTTTATGAACCACCTGCAAGTTTTCTGCAAACAACATGTTTTATGGGAGCTCAAGGCAGTGTTCACCCATCAAGGCCTGACAGTAAGAGGAGGATGGATGAGGCCTTATCTCAGGCACACATGTAACCTTCCCTGTTCCCTGGCCTGACCTCCCTCTGCACTCATTTATGAAAATGATTCATCTTTAAAGAGCTTCCTCGCTCTGCCTGCAGGCTGTAGATCTTTTTGCACTGAACTTGTGTAGGCTGACGTTATAAACTTCGGTTTGTAAGCCATTTGGAGGGGCTTAATTTTGAATATTGGAAAAAGAAAGTACAATACATGTACTTCCTTAAAGGAACAGTCTCGTCCTGGGACTCTCTTCTACAGAAAGATGGTCCCAAGAGATCTATTGAAAAAAACATCATTAGGATTCAACTTGTATTTATTTTGCTAAAGTCTTGCCTCAGCACATTAAAGTAGAGAGTGGGCAAGTAGTGCTAGCATTGGGCTGACGTTATCATGCCATTCTCTCCCCATATCGAGAAAGCGGCTTTGGAGCACACATTTCATATTGGTGGAGGGCACTGCAAAGGGTCTTATTTGTGTCAGGTCTGGTGGAAATCAGTAGGTTTCTCTAGAATATTCCTTTGAACTGAAAAGCCTTAGGGAGTAAGGGGTATTAACTAGAAATAAGGAGAATAAGATCTCAACAAAAGTAGACATAGGAAAAGGGAGAAGAAGATGATATGAATTGGGTCATTTATTTAGCTAAATCTGTGAGTTGTAAGAGCCAGTATTTTCATAGTACTTGTGTGTGGGATCTCACATTGGAAATATGGCAAAAAATAAATATGTGCGAGAGTTTGAACTTAAGAAAGAGAAGATAGAATAGGTTCATAGCATGGTTTTTAAAATTCAATTTTTTTTGTGTAACACGATTTAAATAGGAATGAGATATCCTAGACTTGACATCTAGATAGCTAGAGTGACAAACATTTTCTGTATAGGGATAGATATTCACTTCTTTTAGGGCTTTGCAGGCCTTATGATCTCTGTCACAACTACTCAACTCTGCCAATGTAGCACTGAAATAGATGTAGTCAGTATGCTTGGACATGGGAGTTTTCCAATGAAACTTCATTTATAATGCCATGAGGCAGCCTGGATTTGGCCTGTGGGCCACAGTTTGCCCATCCCAGTCTTAGATTACTCTGGCCTCACACCAAGCCTCAACTAGACCTGTGCCTGCTTCCATGTTCCTCGACTGAGACCAATGACAAAAGTGTAGCCATAACTAAAGAGTGGCATTTTGCTACTTAACAGTCATCAAAATGAGTCCCATGGAAGCCTGTGTTCTGCAAGGTGGCAATTGGTGTTCCTCAAAAAAGGTGTCTGTGGTTAAGGAAATTTGGTAAATATGGGTGAGACTTCTTGGACTTACAATTTTTAAAATGCATTGAGAATGTCAAAGAGAAGATGAAGGAGGCAACATTTCCCAAACCTGTTCATTCGTAGAAGCTTCTTGTACTCCTGCCTCTTACCATCTTCAGAACACATCCCTGGGGTGTGTTCCCCAGGGAGATTAGAGTCTCTGATGTTGTCTACCCTGCCCCATGACAACAACCGGATTATGTGCTGCCTGAAACCAGATGTCCGCCCTATACAAGCTGGCTTCAGACACTCCCCCAAACTCCAAAAACCATTCAGGTAGAATTTTTCCTTTGTCTCTTATCCTGATAGCTATTTTTCTTATGCCAGCTTGCCTTTCCCTAATAGGTATTAGTGGAGCATGACTGTGTGCCCACTGGCCTTCCAGATGACTACAAAATAGCAGTAGTAGAAATGAGCTCTTCCTACATTCCATTTATTGGAATAATTACAAAGATTCCTGTAGAGACTTGCCCCCTGGCAATCCCTAATGATGTAAAGACCTACTCCAAGAAAGTTATGTCCTAACATCTTACCTGAAGGAGAGTTTTCTTGTGCTCATAGACAGCAATGATAAAACTTGGTGGCTGTGGGAATTCATAGAGGATGCTGGCTGTTCTCTGGCATAATGTTGTATGTGATGGAGTGCTGAGGAATTCAGCTCATCTCTGCTGAGCACCCTTCATGTCCATGGCACAGGGCAAAGTGGTGTTGAAATTAGTATAATCAATAAGGTATTGTTCTTGTCTTTGAGGAAATTCAAATTATGCAGGGATTAAAGGAATATAGTAGTAAAATTGTTTCAAATTGTGGAATCTAGAAAGGACACAGTTTCCTCAGGAGTAAGGGATGGTAATCTATGTGGTTTCTGGATTCCACAATCTTGCTTCAATCAGAGTAGCTCTGATGTTATCTATTTTATGTACTAGAAAAATAACAGGTGTTGGAGTCAGACACAACTCTTCTATTTACTATGGTGCTGCTTAATCCTTCTGAGCTTGTTTGCTTATCTATTTAAAGTGAATAACACCCAGGCTTCACAGATTTGTTGTGAAGATGGAATAAATGAATTGTACATGAAGTGCCCAGCCCAGTTCTTGGCACACAGTAGCACCTCAGTAAAGGCCAGCCAGGACAATAGAGTAGACCATGGTGAAAGCCACAAGAAAACTACAGCGTACTTTCCATTTTGTCTCATAAACAGTTGGGCTGAAAATATTTGTTGGGAAAAAAATTGAATAAAATACAAAGGAATGAATGAGAGAAAGGATTGTGACATCTGGCTGGGGGAATCTCAGACGGCCCTGCAGGAAGGGGAACATTTATATTGCACTTTTACTTCAGGTCCTGAGGACAGAGGGTTTCTTGCAACCAGGTGACTTAGTGCAGGGATGAAAGAGGTAGCCTGGGCCACGCAGATGCCTCAGAATCTTTGAGAAGTCGTCTTTAGAGTGGCCAGGTGATATTAGGAAAAGACTTTCCTGGAGAAACATAGAATATAGGAGAATAAAAGAATGGGAGGGTGGAAGGATGTGGAGACAGCAAAAGAGGGACACACACACATACACACGCAGACACACACACACATACACACGCACACACACACACACACACAGAAGCTACAGTTCTAAAACAACACAACAGCTGTATGGATGACAATCCTAATTTTATGATTTAATTTTCCTTCTAAGCAAGCACAGTGGGTTTTCTCTGATTCTTTACTCTGTAAATATAATAAATAGGTCTGTAACTATATTTTGCAGTCATTGATTTTTTCCCCCAAAATAGACAATTTAGAATACTTTTGAATTTAGGGACTAAGTTTATCCCAAATCCTCAATCCCTCAAATACTAATTGAATGGGAGACAGTTGTGTTTACCATTTGCGAGAGAAAAAAATTCAAATGCCATTATATTGGATGCTATAGATGGGTAGAGGAAAAATTAGGTGAGAAAGAATAAGGTTAAGAGTGTCCTCAGGTTCTAAATACAGGCAAGGGAATTGCTAGCATTCAATCTGAGAAATAGAAAAGACATTCTGTAATTTTCTTTCAAGTCTTTACTTACATGAAGCATGCCTCCCTCTTTCCAACACCTACACAGTGGATTTGATTGAGGCCTGTAGCTTTTTCTCTATGGTTTCTTCTGTGAACCTGATAGTCTTATGGCAATATTGTGAATTGAAACAAAATCACAACTACAACCTGAATTTTGTTGGATTGTATTCCTATTTCCTTAAAAAACCCCTGCACCAATTACCTCCTCTCCCCTTCCCCACTTGCCCCCCATAACTAGAAGTTCCTGGGGACATTGCACCTGCACACACAACATAACTCATCTGTGTCCCTTCCCTTGGAGTCAGGAGATTGGTTACTTTAATTCAGCTTCAGTCTGTCCCTTGGCTGGGCACATCTTGCTCACTGGGTCTCTGGCACTGCTACAGTTACAATCTACAGCTGCAGACCTCACCAATGAAGACCCTGGCCCTCTTAAAAATTTTATTTATAAACTCTGAACTTAACCATCACATACTTTCAGTTGTGCTTACTTATAGATGCTTTATTTCACCAATTAAACTCTTGGTAGAGTAAGTCGGTGTATACTGTTGTGTACCAAGGCTGGGTTTCAATGTGACAGTTGGCTGCCTGGATATGGCTTCCAGGCACTCAGTTCAACCAAGTCCTCCCTTTCTCTACCCCTGCAGATCTACTTATGTTCTCAATGGGCTTAAACCACACAATGCTATGGGATGCCTCTCTCTACTTGAGATCCTACATTCCATTGGTTGACTATGAGTCTTACAGGGCCAAAGATGGCAGGGAAATCCAAGTACCAGACACCAAGTTGCGTCAGAATCACTTGCTCCTCTAAAACAAAGTCTTTGTAATTGGGCTAAGTGTGCTTTCATGATGATTCTATTCTCCCCAAGGAAGAATCATCCTGCAAGAGTCTCCTCAGCCATTATGCAAACAGATTTTTTATTCTTTGCCATTTTATTATTTCTCCAAGTGTACTCAGAAACTCAGGAACATCTTTCAATGACAGGTTTAGTTTAAGCTCAGTCTGAGATTCCCTTTCTAAATAAGAAGAACAGACCTAATATTTGCAGTATCACTAGTGGTGTTCTTTCCTGTTATCTTGCTCTATAAATTGGAAAATGGAAAGACAAATCTTGGAGCTATTTCTATATTCAAAAATAGCTGTTTTAGCCTTAAAAAAAGAACAATAGAATCTGAACTGGAAGAAAACTTAGAGCTTACCTCAGGCAATAACCTCATTTCACATATGAAGAAAGTGAGTTCCAGCAGGACCACATGCCTTATCCAATGTCCTCAACAGTTTTTTTCATGGCAGAATTGGGACCAGAATTCAGGTCTCATAATACTTGGTCCAGTATAATTTTGCACTATATCATATTGCCCATCAGAAGTGTGTAGGTACCCTTTCTTTCAATTATTTTGTTGATCATTTAAGAAGAAAAAATTGATTATCCTTGTGCTCTTCTTTTTCAATTAAATGGTGTACCTGAGATTCATCTGCAGCACTTTTTCTTCTTCTTCTTTTTTTTTTTTTTTTTGAGACGGAGTCTTGCTCTGTCGCCCAGGCTGGAGTAGACGATCTGGGCTCACTGCAACCTCTACTTCCTGGGTTCAAGCCCTTCTCCTGCCTCAGCCTCCTGAGTAGCTGGGACCACAGGTGCCCGCCACCATGCCTGGCTAATTTTATTTTTTATTTTTATTTTTAGTAGAGACGGGGTTTCACCATGTTAGCCAGGATAGTCTCTAACTCCTGACCTCGTGATCCACCCGCCTCGGCCTCCCAAAGTGCTAGGATTACAGGCATGAGCCACTGCGCCTGGCCATCTGTAGCACTCTTGTAGTGGAAAGTCTCAGTGACTCAAGGCTAGGGTATCCTACCACATACTTAGCCATGACCCTTTTTTCACTTCCTTTTTCCTTCAACTCCTTGGTTTTGAACCTCGACCAGAGAAGAATGGGGAAATAAAGAGCGATAAAGATCAAAACAATGAGTGTAGCCATGTGGGAGGATAAGCATGCCATGGGGGTTTGGATGATCTGCAGATTGCAGTTACCTGTGTTCAGTTGTTGTTACTACAAAAGGAGACACAAATGCCGGCATCTGCATGCATCAATCCATAGCTACAGACCTCACCAATGAAGACCCTGGCCGTCTTAAAAATAATTTAATTTATAAACTCTGAACTTAACCATCACATACTTTCAGTTGTGATTACTGATAGATGCTTTATTTCACCATTTAAACTCTTGGTAGAATACGTCTTTGTATGCTGTGCATTTTGGAAACACATCAACTCCATGAGGTGAGATGTTTCCATCACTGGAAATATGGTTTGCTCTGTTTACTTCTAAGATATTGACTTCTAGATTCTTATTCTTTGATTTGAAATTTCCTGTTAGCCCAGTTACGACCTTACCATGGTTTTTACAGCATTTGCACAGATGCCATCTTTTTCAAGAGGTCTCTGTTGCAGTTCTAAAGCTGTTGTAGAAGCCAGCTGAAAATCAATGAGGCCGAGTGATAGAAAAACCGCCCAGGTACCTGCTTCAAAAATGCTTTTGCATTAAGTCTGGTCTTAGTGCTAACAGTGGTATTCAAAAACTCGTCTGAGCCTTTTCATCTTCAAAGTTCTTGGCATACATTAACTAATTTATCCTTATAACACTCTTGTCAGGTAACAGGTATAATCACTGTGGATTAGAATATTCGGGGATACAGAAGTTATTAAAATCTTAGATTCTCGGTCTTCTCAATAATGCCTCCAAACAGAAGTCCCTTCAGTGGTAACCAGGTTTCCACAGTACTCCTGTTTCAAAGGAGATACTCCCTTTACTGGCTCCAAATTTTAAAAAGCGTGGATCTTAACAAGATAAAAAATTGAATACCTATAAAATATCTACCTTACTGAGCTGCAGAGAAGTGTTATACTTTTCCTTTTGTTAGAATAAATTAAGGTATAATTTACAAGTCATTCTTTTTAGTGCATGCTTTGGCATGACTTTTCACAAATGTTTACAGTTGAGCAACCATTACACATAATTGAGACACAGAACAAGTCTATGACGCCCTCCAAATCCCCCCGTCACTTTTAGTCAATGTCTCCTCCTGCCCCCAATCACAGGCAATTCTGTCTCTACAGCTCTGCCTTGGCAAAAGAGTTATAAAGGTCATCGTATAATATGCAGCCTTTGAACTCTGGTTTCTTCTATTTGGTGGAATGCTTTTGAGTTCATCCATGTTGTTGCATATTTTCGTAGTGTACTTGCAATGTTGGGAGGTACCACGGTTAGTTAATTGACTCTGCATATGAGGAACATTTTTTTTTTCTAGTTTTTGGTGAATGCAAATGAAGCCACTAAAAACATTGTGTACAGGTGGACATGCTGTGTGGACATGAGTTTTCATTTCTCTTGGGTAGGCTTATATTTTTAAAATTTACTTATCTTCAGGTGGAGAAATAAGAATCAATATGACACACAAAGCAATGTACAGAAGAAATCATTGTTGACATCCTGGGTATCCTGACACTTAAACTTTTTGGATGACAGTTTCCTTAGATCCTAACTCACTAGGCACCCAGGGCAAAGAAGTGTGTCTTCAGGCTGCTTTCAAATACTTGGTATATGCAAGCACCTTTCAGTCATTTAACAAACACTGATTGAGCAGCTACTATGTGCTAACCATTTCTTAGACACTATTCTTGATAATGAAGTAAGGAACAAGGATGTTTCTGAACAAATAATGACACATACTTTGCTGTCTGTATGCACCGGTATTCTCTACTCCAATTACTCTTTCATAAAGTCTCTCTTTGTCTCTCTCTTTCTGTGTGTGTGTGTGTGTGTGTGAGAGAGAGAGAGAGAGAGAGAGAGAGAGACAGAGAGAGAGAGAGAGAGAGAGAGAGAGAGAGAAGGAAAATGAGAAGACTTTCCCACAAATCTCCTATATCTTCTGACATGGAATGGTAAATTGCATTTCAATTATCTGTTAATTCCTTGGAAGATTTCAGAGCTTTCTTTGCGGCGCTTACTAATCTCTCCTATTATGACCCCAAAGTTGTGTAATAGATTGTGAACTAAATGGCATCATGCACATAGACCAAGTAAATCAGGAGATGGCCTACTGGTATGAGGTGAGAGATCCTTGGAAGAGTCCTGCTGAAAAATTTCATCCCCACTGTCTTGCTATAAATGTGTAAGATGCTGTTATTAGATTTTCCTGCTTTCTGTTCATCATTATTGTTGTTTTCAATAAAATGTCAGATTGTACTGGAAGGAAGAGTGCAGACAACAACATTATCTTATTTGTGTTAACTAAGAGGAATCTGGACGCATGAAAGCCACTCCCAAGAAAGTAACTATGAGGAAAGGAGAGAGAAGGAACCAATAAAATTGGAAGCTTAGAGATGGGAATGTGTGAGAGGTAAACTCTTCACATTTTTGCCTGAAATTGATCTCCTGGGGAAAAAAGAATGAAACTCTGTCAAATCATCTCTCTGTTCATTCCTTAGGGTGCTCAATTTTGCAATCAAATCAAGACATTGGCTAGGCCACTAGGTTTATTACCAAGTCTTCAATTCATTGAATAATTTTGTGGTTCTAGAAAAGAAATCAAATAAAATATTTTATCAACAGAATTGTCATATATGTGTGTATATATATGTATATATACATTATGTATATATATGTATATATACAGTATGTATATATATGTATATATACAGTATGTATATATATGTATATATACAGTATGTATATATATGTATATATACAGTATGTATATATGTATATATACAGTATGTATATATATGTGTAGATGTGTATATTATATATACATATGTATATGTACATTATATATTCATATATGTGTATATATACAGCACACATATATACATATATTATATATACACATACATAATATATATACATATATAATATATATACACATATATAATATATATACACATATATAATATATATACATATATAATATATATACATATACACACACACACACACACACATACACACAAACTGGTTTGGGAAGCAGGAAAAGCTCTTAACACAACAACTGTAGAGAAGATGTTTGAAGTGATGGGGTTAGCCCTAGAGAGGAGGGTGGGCGTTTGTCTGTTAATGTACACTGAATAATCTGGGTTTGCTCTAAACATTTCCCATTGAAATACTGAATTATTCCAATCATCTGGGCTATGATTATTTTATTTTATATGAACAGACTTTCAAAATTATGAAAAGCCCATTTCTTTCTCAAAAGGGCCACGATCCCTCTTGCTGTCCCAGACCACCAGAGCTAACATTTGGTTCCGGTGAAATGGAAACCTCGAAATGACGAGTAAGGCATTTTCGGGGAACCGCCGCTCGCTCCTTTCCCTGATGAATTGTCATGCTCTTCTGAGAACATAACCCATCAGTCCTCTGAAATAGGGGATCAGATAACCAGGTCATGCTCAGCTGATTTGCCAGCCGATAAATGGTGAACTTTACTGAGGCTCCCTGCCCACAAGTTTCTTTTGAGAAGAAAAGGACCAGAGTCAGAGATAATGAGGCAGCCTCATGACTTTTAGCACAGTCATGGTTTCCTTGGCCCACACATTGATAGCAGTAACTTCCTTGTCATCATCAACATCCTATTTGTCCACTTCATCTGTAGCAGCAAATGCTGCCATAACAGAAACGATTAGAGGAACGGTGCCAGAGATGCAGTAAACATTCAATAAATATTAGAGAATGAGGCTAACAGCGATGATGAGAGCTATTCTCAGTGGTTTAAGCAATGTGCTTCAGGAGATGTGTTGCCTTTGCTACCAACCCGAAGTAGCATTCTACACACATGTAGCCTGATTAAATGAGATATCAATGTGGTTGTTCAGAGAGGGTATATTACAGAGGTCTTGTATCTTCTTGCTCTTACTGTGATCCATGAGTATTGCAAATAAGCACCAAAAAAACTAAAGACAGGTGAGTGAAATGTCAGTCAGAATTGCAGATTAGAATGAATCTGATTATAGTAGGACAGTAAGCTTGAGAAAAGTAGCAAGAACTCTGTTAGATGCTACACATAGGAGACTTTTTTTCTAGAACAGTGAAAGGATAGAGTAAGGTGGATTTTTTTTTTTTTTCCTGTGGGGCTATGTTTGGGTTGTGATAGAGTGACAGTATAGTGGGGACCAGGGAAAGGAGATTTAGAGGACCTTTAAAATTCACCCTCTAGGGAGAGAATTTGTCAATAGCAAATTGCAGAGGTGCATGCCGGGGGATGCACTCTTTTTGATTTTTAAGTCTGGGGTGATTATGATGTTTATAATACTAGTACTGCTAATAATAGTAGTTGTAATAAGAGTTAATATTTATTGAGAATTTACACTGCTTGGGAGCTGTGATAATTGCTTAACATTTATTATTTAATTTAATGCCTACTATATTAGTCTATTTTTACATTGCTATAAAGAACTACCTGAGACTGGGTAACTTATAAACAGAAGAGGTTTAATTGACTCACAGTTCCACATGGCTAGGGAGGCCTCAGGAAACTTACAATTGTGGTGGAAGGCAAAGGGGAAGCAGGCATCTTCTCCACAAGGTGGAAGGAGAGAGAAAGAGAGCAAGTTTGGGAACTACCAAATACTTTAAAACCATCTGAGCTTATGAGAACTCACTCACTAACACAATAACAGCATGGGGGAAACTGCCCCCATGACCCAGTCACCTCCCATCAGGTCCCTTCCTTGACACGTGGAGATTACAATTTGAGATGAGATTTGGGTGGGGACACAGAGCCAAACCATATTACCTACAACAACCAATTAAGTTGGATAACTACTGTTGTTGTAAGGAGGAAGTTGTGGCTTAGAGTTAAGTAAACTGCCCAACGCCACACAGCTTGCTAAATAGGGACATTTGAACCAGGTTCTGGAGTTGGACTGTGTGGGTTCAGATGGTATCAAAAGGAAGGATGGACAGCTTTATTTTCAGGTTGATCTAAATGCAATGTAAAAGCGGCAGAGATAACATTATGATTAATATTTCCCTCCACATGTCTTTGCTTTTATTTTCTTTCAATCCTCTTGATCAAGGGTCACAAACTATGGTTTGTGGATTAATCTGGCCTGACACCGGTTTTCATAGGGACTGTGAGCTAAGAATGGTTTGTATGTTTTTAAATCATTGAAAAAATTAAAAGAATATTTGAAGAAATGTGAAAACGGTATGACTTTCAAATTTCAGTGTTTATACATAAAGTTTTTTATTTTTTCATATTTATAAGTATATACAATACAAAGAAAGTCAATTGTAAAAACATTTTTCTCACATAAACATAAAGTTTTATTGGAACACAGAAAAGCCTATTAAGTATTGGCGATAGCTGCTTTCGATTTACAATGGAAGAGTTGAGTGGTTGTGAGAGGAACTATACCGTGTGCAAAGCCTAATGCATTTACTGTCTGATTGTTCACAGATAAAGCTTACCAATCTTTGCTTTTGATTGTTGAGAATAAAGTACTTAAGGAGAAAGGCTTTGTATTTTTAGTAGAGATCGGGTTTCAGCATGTTGGCCAGGGTAGTCTCGATCTCTTGACCTCTTGATCCACCCGGTAGGCAGTTGTTTCTAAGAGGTGACTTTAAGGGGCTTTGTCAGGAACTATGCCATGTCAACTCCATTACCTGCCATTCTACCTTCAGGAATTCTACCTTCTGGGAGACTGCTGGGATTGTGTTCTGTCTCTCTCATTTGCTATGTAAGCTCGGTAAAAGCTGTTTAACCTTTTTACATTTCAGTTTCCGCATCTGTAAAATGGTGATAATAGCACCAACTTCAAAGGATTGCAGTAAGGATATTAAATGAGATAATCTGGTAAGGAGCTCAGAACAATGTCTGGCACATGGTGAGAGCATACACACATGTTAACTAATTGTTCGTATCATGCCAGTAAGTTTTTCCTATGACTGGTGCTTATCGCACTTGTTAACACCTGGTAGCTCCATCACTGAATTGTTCAACTAAGTCAGATGCAACTCTTCTTGACCTCCATTACCTCTTCCCGAATCAGAACTGGAATGGTTTCCTTGGCTTCTCTTGGCTCAGGTCAGGAGCAGGCAAGGCAGAGATACCAAGTCCTCATGTCCATCTCCTCAACTACGGTTGACTCTATCCTCATTGGCTCCTACGGCCAGTGTAACTATTCAGGTGGGCATGGGCTAAACCCTGTGAACCTAGAGATTGAAGCCTGACTTGGTAAATGCATTCATGATCTCTAAAGGCTAGGAGACTTAGAAGGCTTAGACTGGGTCTACAAGTAACACTGAAGTAAATGAGCTGTCTCATGGGCAAGTGGGGTAGGCAGCTGTTTCTTTCTTTCTTTTTTTCTTTTTTTCAGAGTCTCGCTCTGTCATCAGGCTGGAGCGCAGTGGCACAATCTCGGCTTACTGCAACCTCTGCCTTCAAACCATTCTCATGCCTCAGCCTCCAAAGTAGCTGGGACTACAGACACGTGACACCACGCCCAGCTAATTTTTGTATTTTTAGTAGAGACAGGATTTCAGCATGTTGGTCATGGTGGTCTCGATCTCTTGACTTCATGATCCACCCGGTAGGCAGCTGTTTCTAAGAGGTGACTGTAAGGGGCTTAGTCAGGAACTATGCCATGTCAACTCCATTATCTGTCATTCTACCTTCAGGGATTCGTTACTTCACCATAATGATGAGGGCAGGGGTGGGGATGGGAGTGGGAGTGGGGAACACTTGGAGGGAGAGTGGGACATGGCACCGAAATCCAGTCTTGCCTACTTTAGAGTGTTGCAGGGGCCAACTCCAATTATGACGTCAGCATAGCATAAAGAAAGGGTGGGCTATGACCAGGTGCAGTGGCTCATGCCTGTAATCCCAGCAATTTGGGAGGCTGAGGCAGGAGGATCACTTGAGCTCATTAGTTTGAGATGAGCCTGGGGAACATTGTGAGACCCCAAAGCTACAAAAAATTAAAAAGGCATAATGGCATGCACCTGTAGTCCCAGCTACTCAGAAGGCTGAGGCTAGAGGATTGCTTGAGCCGAGGAGGTAGAGGCTACAGTGAGCTATGACTGTGCCACTGTACTCCAGTCTGGGTGAAAAAAGAGACCCTTTCTCAAAACAAAAACAAAAAAGAAAGTATAAGCCACAGTGTCAGTATGGAAGACGATTTCCTCTTCTTTAGAGCTCCTGAGATAGGGTCTTTCCAGGGTATTATAGATTTGATCCTTAAGCAGGGTAAGGACTTGATATGGTTATTTCAAAATAAGTAATTAGCAGCTAACTGGTCACTGTAACAGACTCCTCACAGCCACAGAGCAGTAGTGAAACGTTCTCATTCATTATTCAAAACCCACTGTCTGCATTTATTCAGTGCTTTATTCTGTCTCTTGTTCATCTGTGTTTTGTTTCTTAGGGAAATTGCACTAGAATAGGATTGGCAGACTTAGGCTTATAGGTCCTAGCCTCCGATTCAATTAATGACCTTCAGTATGACTTTGAATTTTTGAGACTGTCGGTTTACCCCTTCTTATTCTTGAAGGAGAGACGGGGATAAATTCAGAGGCATTGTCGTGGATGGATTCTGGGTTCAGATCCAGGTTATTCAATTCATATCTTCATGATCTTGAATGAAGAAATTCACCTTTTTGTGTCTCAGTTTCCCCATCTGTAAAGTAGGCATATTGGTAGTATCCCCCACATGAGGTTTTTGACAGGATTAAGTGAGTTAGCTGATTTAGCTAGAATGTTTAGAAGGGTAAATGTTATCAGGTTGTTTGCTTATTGTTTTCATGATTATTTCCGAAAGAGGTAGTCCTGTCTAGCATTGAATAGATTGTTACAATCAATCCACATGGCTATCCTCTGACATGGTTTTTATCCCAATAGATGGAATCATGGCTCTATGAAGTAGAAGGACTTGCTTAAGGTCACTCAGCTGATAGGTGAGAGGGCAGGTATTCAAATCCAGTCTCATTAATTGGAGAGCCCATGCACATTCTGTGAATACTTTCACTTCTAAGATCCATCAATTCTGTATTCAGACTGGGCCTAATAATGCAAGTTAGAACAAGTATTTGAATAATTAATAAGGTAGCACACTATCACTTGAATATTTTCAGGTGAAGTATTTTCCTTACATTCTCCTTATTAGAGCATTAAACTGTGAAGCTGAATAGCATGTGCTGTTTAAGATCAAGCTGCATGACTCTTAGGGCTAGGTTTTGAGACTTTTTTTTCCTACTGCCAGGCATGATGTAGACAAGCCATAGACATTTTCTTTCTTATCTGTCTCCTGTAAGTGCCAAGCAAGTGAACCTCAGGTGAGTTTGCAACTCAGACTGAGTGTGTGGCCCGGTGGAACATGTGATTGAGTGCTGGTGGAGGTGGGAGTGCGAGAGGGGAAAAACATAATTAATTATTACCAGAGGGAAAGTTGAACTGGGTGGAGGTTTAGAATGATTCACCTGGATCTTTGACTCAAGTGCCTTAATGAGTTTCTGCAACGCCTTCTGATAAAAGTTTGGCCAAGGAGACTTGTATTTCGCCCAGGGTGTAACCACCCCAAGCCTTGATCACTGTTTAGAAGCAGTGACTGCCATTTTGCAAAATGATGATTCAAAGATTGGAAAGTAAAGGGGAAAGGCTCAGCTTAACTGGGTTGCTGTTTTGGGATACCACACGGCAGAGGTGTTAGCTGATTAACCTATCGAGAATAAAGAAATATGACTGAGAAATACCAGAGGTGAAACTAGGCTCGAAAAGTGGGACAGAACAGCCAAGAAGGGGAGAAAAACAGATCAAAGTAGGGGAAGCAAGTCTTTGCTAGAAAATCATCCAAACCAAACAACAAACATGGGTTTTGGCAATAATGGAATTGCCTTTCTTTGAAAACAGTGGATTCAACAAATATTTGTGAGTTCCCGAGGAGGTGTTTTAAATCACTGTGCCTCTTGCTGCATTTGTAACCACCTTCTTAGTGTACTGAGCTTGGTAGATAACCCCCACTATTCATTTTTAAGCTTCTTTTAAAAATATCTAATTCCATCTGTTAAATGTCCAAAGGAGGAAAATGAGATGTTCCTACCTGCTGAAGGTGCTTTCTAAAGTCAAACAATTGTGTTAAGCCTCTTCTTACGAGCTCTAAAGGTTTGTGATTGCAAAAAGAGTTCAGACATATTAGCCTGATGTACAAGCTTTTTTCTTTTTTTTTTTTTTTGGGATAGCTCTTGTTGCCCAGGGTGGAGTGCAATGTTGTGATCTCAGCTCATGGCAACCTCTACCTCCTGGATTGTTCAAGTGATTCTTCTGCCTCAGCCTCCCGAGTAGCTGGGATTACAGGCACGCACCACCATGCCTAGCTAATTTTTGTATTTTTAGTAAAGAAGGAGTTTCACCATGTTGGCCAGGCTGGTCTTGAACTCCTGACCTCAGGTGATCCGCCTGCCTTGGCCTCCCAAAGTGCTGGGATTACAGGCATGAGCCACTGCGCCCAGCCTGTACAGGCTTTTACTACCTGGAGCTGCCTAGTTTTTTCACTTTGCATCTTGTTGCTTCCTCCTGGGACCTCTATACTCTAACTGCTTTGGATTAGGTGACCTTCCCAGGCCATGAGAGTCCTTAGCTTTTTGACCTCTATTGCACAGAATCTTCTTCTGCCTGGAATCCAAGTCCTCATTTTTCTGCACCTGGGAGACTTCTATTTTCCTTCAAGAGGCAGATTCTGCCACTTCAAAAAGATTGTGTTTTGGTTGTCTATCTTCCTGTGCCCATTTAGTAATTTCCAAAAAAACAGATATATATTTGTTACAATACAGTATGCATATATCAAAATTTATTTAACCTTTCCTCTAATATTTAGGGAGTTGCCACTTTTTTCTCTCCTATAAATATAACACAATAATTGCGCTCACACATAGATCCCTCTGATTTTTGCTGATGCTTTTCTAGGAAAAAAATTTTAAAAAATGATAAGAATAAAGAGTTTTAATACTTTCCTGCCCTTGGTACACATGCCATGTAGTTTTCTATAAAGGTTTATCTTTCAGTGTTGGATCTGTCTCCACCCTGGGTCTCATTCTCAATTTAAAAAAAAAAAAAAGAAAGGAAAAGAAAAGTTTTGCTTATTTTGTAAACAAAAGTGCTGTTTATATTTAA
The DNA here is from genome assembly GCF_000001405.40 of Homo sapiens. Classification (NCBI taxonomy): domain Eukaryota; kingdom Metazoa; phylum Chordata; class Mammalia; order Primates; family Hominidae; genus Homo; species Homo sapiens. Next base: position 8,570,295 of record NC_000010.11, read on the forward strand.
TATAGATTTTTCTGATTAGTAGTTAGGCTAAAGTTATCTTTCTGTTACTTGTGGGTATCTGTATTCCTTCTTCTATGAATTGGCTTTTCTGACCATTTGCCCATTTACTTTTCTCTTTTAGAGCTGGGGTCCCACTCTGTTGCCCAGGTTGTAGTGCAGTGGTGCCATCATAGCTCACTGCAGCCTGGAACTCCTGGGCTCAAGCAATCCTCCCACATCAGTCTCCTGAGTATCTGGGACTACAGGCATGCACCACCAGCTAATTCTTTTATTTTTATTTTTTTATAGGGCAAGGTCTTCGTTTGTTGCCCAGGCAGGTCTTGAACTCCTGTCCTCAAGTGATTCTCCTGCCTTGGCCTCCCAATGTGCTGGCATTACAGGCATGAACCACTGCACCCTGCCCCAATGTTACCATATTTCATTGTTCATTGTGTAATACTCTATTGTAGGCTGGGCACAGTGGCTGAAGCCTGTAATCCCAGCACTTTGGGAGGCCGAGGTTGGTGGATCTCCTGAGGTCGAGGGTTTGAGACCAACCTGACCAATATGGTGAAACCCTGTCTCTACTAAAAATACAAAAATTAGCCAGGTGTGGTGGTGGGCACCTGTAGTTCTAGCTACTTGGGAAGCTGAGACAGGATAATCTCTTGAACCCAGGAGGTGGAGGTTGCAGTGAGCGGAGATTGTGCCATTGCACTCCAGCCTGGGTGACAGAGCGAGACTCCCTCTATAAAAACAAACAAACAAACAAACAAACAAAAACTCCATTGTAGCACTTGGAAAAAAGAAAAAAGAAACAAAATCTATTGAGCTGTTATCATATTCCAGATATGTTGCACTGATTATCTCTCCTAATAATACCATGAAGTAGGCACTATTATACCCGTTTCAAAGATGAACAAGTTGATGCACAGAGAGGTTAAATAATTGTGTAGACCCACATAGTCAGTAAGGGATAGGAAAGAGATACAAATTCCAGCAGCCTGATCTGAGAATCTTCATTCTCAGCAGATACCGTCAACCATTTCACTTCTCCCTTTTTAACATCAGATTTGTAGAGATATCAATCATATTTAGTAAAATCCATCCTTTTAAGGTGTACAGCTCTACACATTTTGACATCATGCCATAATCAAGATACAGAATATTCTATCACCCACTCCTAGTCAGCCCCCTTCCCCTCTCCCAGTCCCTGGCAATTGCTCCTGTGTTTTTTGTTAACATAGTTTTGACTTTTCCAGAATGTTATATAAGTGGCATCGTGCTGTATATGGCTTTTTGAGTCTTCCTTCTTTTACCTAGCTTCATGCTTCTGAAGTTCTTATCTGATGTTGCACGTGTCAGCAGCTCATTCCTTTTTATTGCTATATAGTATTTAATTTTTTTGGTGTAACTTATTTTTTGTTGTGGTTTTCCTTTTACGTTTGTATCCTTCATTTATACTATGTGCCCTTTGAGGGTACCAGTGATGCCCTGGTCATCTTTATGATCTTGACACAGCACTTCACTCACGGTTGTGGTCTGTAGATTTCCATCATAGAAATGAAGTAGTAAGGGACCATGGCAAACACAATATACACACTCATTAATAGTAAAATAAATGAAAGTTATTCAAATTTTAGGTATCTTTGTATGCTAATTAAGCTAGCAAAACAATAGACAATTTTTTAAAAAAAATCACTGAAGGCGAGGATCCAGGGGACATACATTCATATATGACTGCCATTGGTGGAATTTATACATTTATAAATTGGTTTAATTTTGCTAGACACAAACCTGCAATGATGTAAAAGGAGCTAGACACTCTTCTAGACCTAGATCCATTCATTCAATTATTAGGCAGGTATGCAAAAGAGAAATCTGAATAAAGATATATATATATAGCAGAACCATTTGTAAAGTCTCACGTTTTAAGCAATTCAAACACTTCCAAATTAGGAAATATGGAAGGTAACTACATATTGCAGCATAAATCTACTATGTAGATTAAAAATGAGAATAACATGACTGATATAATGTGCAAATACATGAAAATAAGAAATTAGGATTGGTAAGTTTCTATTAATTTTTAAAATTTGTAAAATATATCTCAAAGAGTCATTACCCCATATTACACACACACACACACACACACACACACACACACACACACACAGAGTATTGTTACTAAAGTAAGATAAAAAGAAATCTCTCTGTGGCAGTTGTAGTTGCTCAATCAGATGGCAATTCTGATGTTATGTAGATAGTCATGCTGGAACAAAAGAATATCTAAAACACAGACCACGCCATCTGATATTGTGGCTGAGGCAGTGACTATCTGTATACAATTAAAATTGAATGGAATCAACTTTACAGGTTTTTCAGGCCACTGTCCTTAACTGTTTACTCCCTCTTTTCTCATATGTAGGTTTCCCTCAATTACTAGATATTTGGTGTGGAATTGCCTAAGTGAATTAATTAAATTGTTTTTATTTAGAATGAACAAAGAGTTTAATAGGGATAGATGCAGTTTATTTTCTTTGAAAGTTTCATGCTTGGCTGAATATTCATTTTCTGTTTGGTTCCAGGTCTTCCTGGTTTTTGGAAGACTGTGCTAGTTTGGTGAGTATTTGACAATTCAAGTTTCTTCTACATAGAAGGCATCAGAGTGACATTTCCTAGGAAAATTCATGCTGTGGGCACAGGCTGTGTGACAGTGAAATGACAATATTAGGTGCTCGGGCTCCATCCTTTCTGTCCCCTTTCAGAACATGTTTTAAACATATTAAAGACGTTTTTCTCTCTTGTGGTAAGTTAATTTTGACACTCATAGGTCAACAGTCACATCAGTCATTTGTTTTGGTGATGAGCACTTCTGTAATATTTCTTGTGTAGAGTTGGCAGGAATCTTACAGTCCTTCTCCCAACAGCTGAAAAGACTGAAGTGTTGAAAACAACTTGTCGAATATAAAAGCAAGAGCCCTAGATCTCCGAGAAAGCACATCTTTGCTCTTAAAGTCAAGGCTGGCTCTCAGTAGGGCACATCCACTCAGACTTTCTGGCCCTGTCCATGAGCACTCTGGATCTCTGCAATGGGGCAACGTAATGAACCATCCTTTGGTGTTACCTGAGAGTGAAGAGAGAAAGATGCATAATGAACCATGAATCACAGGAGGTCGGGATGTGAACACTGGAAGGGGTGATGGCACATTCTAAATAGCCTTGAATAAGCATTATATGACTGCTACGAAGGTAGGAGATCAGGGGTAACTGAAGATTACCCCTGATTGCTTACCCATGCAGCTTATCATTGATGTTAGGACACACTACATACCCAGACCTGAACCTCACAATCTTCTTCTAAAGCATTCCAAAAAGTGCTACATGAGACGCATTCGATGAATACATTCAAAGGCGAAGCAGAATAAGGGCTGACTGGAGCAGATGGCATTAGGAAGATTTCCTGAAATAAACATGATTCACAAAATCTTTTTTTTTCTTTTTTTTGAGGTGGAGTCCTCCTCTGTCGCCCTGGCTGGAGTACAGTGGCGTGATCTTAGCTCACTGCAAACTCTGCCTCCTGGGTTCCAGCAATTCTCGTGCCTCAGCCTCCCAAGTAGCTGGGATTACAGGCACCTGCCACCACGCCTGGCTAATTTTTTTTTTTTTGTCTTTTTAGTAGAGATGGGGTTTCACCATGTTGGCCAGGCTGGTCTTGAACTCGTGACCCCAGGTGATCTGCCTGCCTCGGCTTCCCAAAGTGCTGAGATTACAGGAGTGAGCCACCATGGCTGGCAGTGATTCATGAAATCTAACAGAGCAGAAGAGGTAGAATATTTGGAAATAAAGGGAAATATGAAAGAGGAAGGGAGAGTACATTGTCTTTCTTATTTACTGAGAGTATATCATGCACCTAACCCTGGAGATGGTGTTTAGGGATCAAGAGTAACTGAGATAAGTTGGTGAAAGGAATGGTCCTGTCATGAAGGAGGTTTCAAGTTTACAGGGTGCTTAGGCAAGTTGAACTCAATTATAAGAGTGGGAGAATGTTCATTTGGGCAATTGTAGGGCACTAACCAGTTGATTATTGGATGTGACTTTATAGAAAAATCTTCTAGGAGACATTGGCAACTAAGTTAAGGCTTAAAGGAAGGGGAGAGATGACCTGGGTACGGGAGACTCTGGCTGTCATGTGGAGAAGTTTGGATGTACATTTCATCTTACGTCCCCCTTACAGAGGGAAATGGGGACCCAGTGAAAGATCCTAAGCCAGGAATTGATAGGATTAAGTTTGCATCTTAAAGGGGTTACTCTGGTTACAGAAGTGACAATGGATTGGAGAGAGACAAACTGAAGGTGAGGATAGTTCGAAGACTGTTGCGGTAATCTAAGCAATCAATGAGCCAAGCCAAAGTCTCAATGGAGACACAGGAGTGTGTGCGAATTAATGAGATGGACAGGAGACAGAATCACAGCAGTGAGTAAGGCTTGAAAAAGAGTGAGGCAAGACTAACTCCCAGGTTTTGGGTTTTGGCCATGGGATGGATGACACTGCGTGTCCTGAGCTGGACAACACAGAAAGAGTTGTGGGTTTCAGAACAGGAGGGGTGAGACAGGAACAGGCAACAAGTTTAGCTTTTCTTTTCTTGTTTAGTTTTTCTTTTCTTTTATGTACTTTTCTTTCTTTTTTTTTTTTGGAGACAGAGGCTTGCTCTGTCACCCAGGCTTGAGTTCAGTGGCCTGAATACGTTCACTACAGCCTTGACCTCCCCAGCTCAAGTGATCCTCCTGTCTCAGCCGCCCAAGTAGCTGGGACTACAGGTGCTTACCACCATGCCTGGTTAAATTTTGTATTTTTTGTAGAGATGGGGTTTCACCATGTTTCCAGATTGATCCTGAACTTCTGACCTCAAGCAGTCTGCTTGCCTTAGCCCCTTGATTTTCTTAAATTCAAGATTTTTGTGAGACATCCAAGTGGAGATGTCTTACAGGAAGTTAGTAATGATGGAATGGCAAAGAACTGAGCTTATGAGAAAGGGACATGGATTTGAGGGTGATGAGAAGGGTCAGAAAAGACTTTGAAGAGATATGGAACCAAATGATGGATTCAGGAATGTAATTTATGCTAATTCCAAGGGTTCTTGGAATTATAGAGAGGAGAGCTTGATATTATCAGTGTCTGCTTATATTAATCCCTAAGAATCAGAACTTTAATGAGGCTTAAAGAAAAGTTTAGGAGGAAGCAGTGGTGCTAAATAGACTGAAAGCTACCAACTGGAACAGTAAAGACATCTCATAGTGGTGCTGTCAGTGATTTTACTTAAACCATTTGCTTCTAGATAACATCAAACTTCCACCTGTAAGGCAAGGATAGCAATCTGACTCACAGCACTGTTTAAAATTGATCATAATATGCCTTAAAATGATCTTGATCACACCAGTCTTGATCAGTTTAGGAGTTCCTGACTGCATTTGATATGGGATTTCTAAAAATAGTGTTTCATTTGCCCAACTAGGATCATTCATATTTGTAAGATACTTGACTTTGTATAAACACCTTCAAAGACATTACATCATTTGCTTCTCTCAGTAATCTAGTGAAATAGGCAAGAGAGTCATTATTATTCTTTCAATTTTACAGATGAAGAAAACTGGGGCTATAAAAGGTGAAATGACTTGTCCAAGATAAGTCACTATCTAGTAAGTGGCAGATCTGGAAATCTATCTATTAAAGGCACCTGGACTACAAATATGATTAAAATTTTTACCACTATTCCATAACAGTCCATCACTTAGTCTTTTGATTCAGGTTAAATGATTTAACTAGATCAGCTGGACTATACAGATTAGAGAATGTATGAGACAGTCAGCCATGTGCAAGCCATTGGGTAAGGTATTGGAGAGACACAATGACAAGTACAAGACATCTTTAGGAACTGAAAATCTCCTGGAAGCACATAAAATAAAAGTGCCTGGTCAATTGGAAATAGTAATACAGACATAAAATGATAGCAATAATCTAAGAGATCTTAAATTGTTGAGGATGGACCATCAGTACTCTAGAGATTCAGAGAGAAAGTCATTTGCACAAACTTTGTGGAGGAAGCATGACTTGAATTTAGCCTAGGAGATAATCAGAGAGAAAAATGAAAGCAGCTAAGGCCAGGACACACACAGGGCACAGTGGCAATGAGAAGGAACAGTCAAGATTGCATGGCAGGGAGTAGAACCGGTTGGTTGGAATGAATGTTTTATGCAAAGATGTTATGTTGAAAATTCTGTAGAGGTAAAGTGGGCAGATGTTAAAGAGCTTTGAAATATTAATCTAAGAGGGTTAGTAAAGTTTTTTTAACCTGTGTTATTTTATCAGATTCATTTGTTTGTTTGTTTGTTTTTGTTTATTTTTTATGTATTTATTTTTTTTGAGACAGAGTCTTGCTCTGTCGCCCAGGCTGAAGTGCAGTGGCATGATCTCAGCTCACTGCAACCTCTGTCTCCCAGGCTCAAGCGATTCTCATGCCTCAGCCTCCAGAGCAGCTAGGATTACAAGTGGGCACCACCACACTCAGCTAATTTTTTTAATTTTTCAGTAGAGATGAGGTTTCATCATATTGGCCAGGCTGGTCTCGAAATCCTGACCTCAAGAGATCTGCCCGCCTTGGCCTCCCAAAGTGCTGGGGTTACAGGAGTAAGCCACCACACTTGGCCAAGATTAGTTTTTAAAAGATCACATGGGTTAATTCAGTGGAAGATTTCTGAAATTTCACTGTACTGATTGATTCGTTTGTTAAAAATTAATCTCATTTCGTTGTTCAGCTTCCTAACCACAGTTAGGGAAAATCTTCCCTCCTCCTCCATTAGAAATCAACTGCATTTAAGTAATAAAAGTTTAACATATAATTTATGTGCTATTTTCTACTAAATTGCTGAGGTTTTCAAAAAGCAACCTGCTGAGGATCTTTGGAGAATGTTTTACCTGCTAATGGAGAACCTCCCTTCTTTGGGGACTTTCCTGAGAATTTCCTTGAGGTTAGCTTTCATTACATTCAATGGATCAAGACTAACACATTGAAAAGACAACTTTTTCCAACAAGGGAAAGCAAATGTCAAAAACTGACAAAAGAAGTCAGAAAATGTGGCAATTCTTTGGCTTACAGTTAGAGAAGATGATGGCATCCGACATTTTAAGCCACCCGTTTAAAACACACACACATCCCAGTACTTAAGGAAGCTAAAGCTGAGGCTACTTTAAATCTTATCAAAACCACTATCAGGAAAAGAAGACAAAAAGTACTGTATGTTTACTGATAGCCCTAGTCACTATTAATGTCTGACAAATTATATAGCCAGTAGACAACTTTGAGTTATCTTCTGGCGATATCAATGATGTTACAACACTGGCGATGGCTTAGCCTGAACAGTGACAAGAGGCTAAGAGCTTCTGTACTGATGTCTGATTATGTAATATTCGAGGTGTGCCAAAAACTTCTAATCAGGATAAATGAGTTCTGGGGGGTGAAAAGAAAAATGCATTACCTATGTTAGCATAGATTCTGAGACGCTCATCAGGAAACACATTTCATGGTCTCAAAAGAGCTCTGTGGTTCTTCTTTGAAAGGCGAGTACTTTCCAACTCGACAAAGGTTTCACTATTACTTGGTGAAACTGAGTCAGGCACTGTTTTGCAAGTAAACTGAGTAAAAGAAACATTCATTTATACAAATTGCAAATCCTTCTGATTCCACAGAAGAGCTAATTTCCACATTCAGAACACGTGAACTCTTCGGCAGGATCGACTTCATTCTACTTCAGCATGAAGTTAAATTAAATCCTCCAGAGAAACCAATTTGGGGAACTGTCTTTTTAAAACACTATTTTTTCTTCTTCTTCTTCTAACAGATCTGGGTCCTATAATACAGGCAATATAAAGATTTTGACTTTAACTACATAAACAATCTTTCAACCACAATGGACCAACAGTAATTCTGAGTGAAGATATTTATTTCTTGATATCTTGATAATATGATGCATTTTTATTGGCTCTGGGATAACTTGTATGTATATTTTCATTGTAAGTGACTTTGAACCTTTGGCATCTGGTCTCTAGAGTTTTGGTGGCTGTGTTTACTTTCAGAAATTTTCTTATGCTACTAACAATAGGGTTATCTGAGATACGACTGAATCTTAAGTGCTAGCCAAAAAAGAAAAGAAAGAAAGAAAAATCATGTCTTGGACCAGATTTGACCTGTGGGCTGCCAGTTTGCAACCACTGATTTAGTTTTATTCTTAGTGAGTTACTCATGGACATATAATTTGTCGGTGACAGAGGTGGATCAAAAACAGAGGTTCCCCTAATTTTTAGCCTTAAATTTTCCCCATCGTATCATGCTCCCAATTTTATTTTATATATTTCTTCTCAATCAAATGGCTCTGTACCATTAAATTTTATTTTTAGAAATATCAAATCTATCTTTGTTCCAGGTTGATTTCTCTCAATAAAACTTGGGTTTATAAAAATGCTCATCGCCTTTCTTCTATTTCATATAAAAGGTTGAAAGGGCTTCATGCTTGATTTTAAGTTAAGATAATAAAGTCATAAAAGACATAAAAATAATGTGTGAGCAAATGTCTTTGCCTGCTGTCTTCACAATTTTTATTTCAATAATCACCTGAAATCAATGTTTTGGTGAAGAAGAATGCAGGTGGACTAAAAATGGAAATGTGTTGCAATAATTCGGTAATGAATTTTATTATTGCCCCACATTGTGGATACTGTTGGTTATCCACCCAACACCTGTGCCCCTGTACTCATTAATTAAGAACCTAATTACTTATACATTCACCCCTCCCTCTGATGACTAAGGAGCAGACGACTTCGTTCTCCACTGTGGGAGCAGATCATGCTTAATCTGGGGCAGTAAGTGCAGGCATTTATCTGTTTTCTCTTACTGGCCCAGGGGTAGGTCTATAGTAGTAGACCCAACAGACTGATGGGGGCACTTACACCCAGTGCTTGAGGGAGAGCTTTCTCTCTTGGTCCTGCCAGACATGAACAAGAGAACTCTGTAGTTCTAATTGCCATGGGCAGCCACCTGATGACCATGAGGGTGACCAACCTTAAGGTGAAATTGATGCCTGCAGGGAGGTAAGACAGAAAGAAACACAGTCTTCATTGACATGATTGTGCTGATGATCATACTGAGCCTGGAGCTCTCCTTTCATTCTCTGAATTTGCAGTTATGTGAAATAGTACATTTCCTTGCTATTTAAGCTAGTTGGTGATGGGGCTTTCTATCACCTGCTGCTGAAAAGGTCATTGCACACATTCTAAAGCTGCTAGAAGAGTGTGAGGAAAGATGTGTTCACTTGTTTTGCCTTCTCCTCTATGTTTACAATGGAAATCTGCAGTGCCGAAATGATCTTACCTATGTAGAAAATCATTAGTGCATGAGGCAGAAGCCTGGACTCTAGTTTGGACCCTGGCACATTTATGGGCTATGTGATGTTGGATTAAACACTTAGCATCACTTAGCTTCTTTCTTTCTCTTTAAATGGGCAGAAAATACCTGCCCCAACTACCTTACAGGGTTTCTGTAAGAATAAAATAAGATAATGTCAGTGAAACTGCTTTGAAGAGTACAGGCTCTCTCTCTCTCTCTATATATATGTGTGTGTATATATATATCTTATATGTATAAAATACATATAATAAATATATTTACATATATGTATATATTTTTGAGATGGAGTCTCACTCTGTTGCCCAGGCTGGAGCTCAGTGGCATGATCTCAGCTCACTGCAAGCTCTGACTCCTGGGTTCATGCCATTCTCCTGCCTCAGCCTCCTGAGTAGCTGGGACTACAGGCGTCCACCACCATGCCCAACTAATTTTTTTGTATTTTTTTAGTAGAGATGGGGTTTCACTGTGTTAGCCAGGATGGTCTTGATCTCCTGACCTCGTGATCCACCTGCCTCGGCCTCCCAAAGTGCTGGGATTAGAGGCATGAGCCACCGCGCCCGGCCTCAATATAGATATTTTAAATGTTAATCACCCACTCCTATGAGACTCCTCTTAAATATGTTTCTGATGAAATTATCACAACAAATCTTGCAGGAGAGTGGTGGTATCCCCAGTATACAAGTGGGAGAAACTGAGCCTCAAAAAGCCTAAATACTTTGCCCATGGCCACCCAGATGGCAACCAATAGAATGGGCATTCCAATCTGGGTCTATCTGACTCCAAACCTACACTTCACCCACTATGCCTCCTACGTAGTGTGATGAGCTGTGGTTGGGAAGGCCTGTCAAAATCCTAGACGCAATTAAAATGGGCACCAGGAATTGCTACTCCCCCTTGAACACCTCCTGTCTCCCGGCTCTGTGCTTGACCTCCACAGTCTCATTGACTCCCCTCGAGAGCCTTGGGAGGTACGGCATTACTATCCACATCTTATAGACGAGAAAATGATGTGCAAAATACAAATGTCTGTCTTGCCCAAAGTTGCATAGTAGACAAGTGATTGAGACAGGATTCAGACCTTTATCTAGGTCTAGTAAAGTCTTAATTGAATGCATTACCTCCTAGGTTGGAAAAGAAGCAGGTGATATGAGGGCCAAGGAAAGAGATCACTATTATTGAGGTGTAAGCGTGAGTGTGGCTGGGGTTTCAAGTCAAATGTACACAGGACAGCCCTGCTGTAATCAGTGCTGGCTACCTGGGTTGTTACTCTCTGATAACACCAATAGATAGTAAGTAGTTGTTACTCGCTAATGGCACTAATAGATAGTAAACTCTAATGGTAAACTCACGCTTATTACTGAGGTGTAAGCATGAATGTGGCTGGAGTTTGAAGTCAAACATACACACAACAGCACTGCTGTATCAGTGCTGGCTACCTGGGTTGTTATTCTCTAATCCCATGTCAACCTTCCTGTTGGGAGAGAACTGTTGTGCACAGCCCTACCCAGTCGGTGTGGTGCAGGGAGGCCCCACCAGGAGAGACCAGAGAGGGCCAGCAAGTCTGGGAGAGACCTAAACAGCAACCAGGGACATTTTTCCCATAAGAAAAACAACCAGAAACTGATAATCCCCAAACCTATAACATGCTAATAATTTTTGATATAAATAGCTTTAAAATTGATCACTGCCGTAAGTAATATACTAAATGTAATTCAAAAGTTTTTAGTGACGTTGGCGTCATGGTAGTGCACAGGCACATTATTCTGTGGTAACAATTGTTTAGTCTGTCTTTCCCTAATGCCAGACAATTTGCAATCACTCTGGCTCCCAAGGCGTTTTTCTTTCAGCATTCTTTCTCCTTCCTAATTTGGGCATCTGATTTGCTGTCGTCTGAGAAATTGAATAAATGCAGTTGTTAGAATTGCATGTAAAATAGGAATCAATGAAGCCTGCACAACCAGCAGTGTGGTGATGAGGGCTCTGTGGCTGCAGAGATTTTGGAAGATTGGGTAGCTACATTCCATATGATAGGGTTTTCCTTAAGACTGATCGAAAGAATTCATGAGGTCACTTGGTCCGACCCTCTTATGCAGTATATGAGGAAACTATGACTCAGCTAATAACAATGAGCCAATATGTATTGAGTATTTATGATGGTCCAAGCAATACTGTACACGCATGATCTCATTCGCTCCCCCCTGCCCCCGTCACAGCTCTGTGGACTAGAAACTGTTACGCTCATTTCACAGATGAGAAAACAGACGCACAAGAAGGTTTAGTAACTTGCCCAAAGTTACACGGTTCATAAGCAGTTGAGAGAGAGCTCAAATCCACACAGACTGGTTGAGCAGGGCCATGGTAACCACTGTGGGCAACTGGAAGTGACTTGCCTGAGGCCAATCAGGAAATCAGAAATCGGTGAAGTGTAAAGATGAGAATTCAGGCCAGATGAGATTATCAGCCTAGGAGTTGTAAACTGTGCCTTGATGTCTAAATCCAGTGTTAACTACACACACACACACACACACACACCACACAATCATGCTGGTTTACAAACTTTCCAAAGTTATCTTTCAAATCACCTAATTCCCCCACCAACCCACTCTCTCTTTATACCACATTATAGTACTTTTTACTACTAGTGAGTAAAGGATTAGATGGGATTTTGGCTGTTTAGAATTCTGCTCTTGGCAAATTGTCCTGAGAAAAATGACCAGTGAAAATTTGAGAAATAAAATACCGGGAAAAACCGTCCTCAGTATTAGCTTCATAATGAGAAGCCAAAATCAATGTGTGAAAGTTTTCATCAGGTGAGTAAATTTAAACATTTTAAAGAGAATATTTCTAATCAAACATTTATCAGCAGCCAATTAAGACTTTCCAGTCCTTTCCAAAGCCTTGTGATTGGAGATCCCTCGAATTACTACCTTATTTTTTTTAAATCAAATTTCAAAAAGTAAAGGCAGGATTTCTATCAGGACTTCTCCCTCTTCTGAGGTTGTCTCAGCAGGGTTGTCTTAAGTGTCTGCTGGTTTATTGTGTCAATTCTATACACTTATTTGTCAGAGATAAAGTAAATGGTATGGGCTGAAGTTCTGAACAGACACCTCACCAAAGATCTACAGATGGCAAATAAGCATATAAAAAATGGTCCATATCATCTGTCATCAGGGAAATGCAAATTAAAACAACCATGATAAACCACTACACACCTATTAGAGATACTAAAATCCAGAACACTGAGCCCTCATTCACTGCGGATGGAAAGGTAAAATGGTCCATTTGCAGCCACTTTGGAAGAAAGTTTGGTGGTTTCTTACAAGACTACACATATTCTTAATTTTTTTTAGAGATAGGCTCTTGCTTTGTTGCCCAGGCTGGTCTCGAACTCCTGGGCTCAAGCAATCCAAAGTGCTGAGATTACAGTCATGAGCCACTGTGCCCAGCCCTCTACTTTTTTTTTTTTAATTTTTTTATTTTAATTTCTTTAGAGACAGGGCCATGCTCTGTTGCCTAGGCTGGAGTGCAGTGGTGTAATCATGACTCATTGCAGCCTTGACCTCCTGGGCTGAACCAATCCTCCCGCTTCAGCCTCCTGAATAGTTGGAACTACAGGTGTGCACTTCTGCACCCAGCCAATTAAGAAAATTTTTTTGAGATGATGTCTCACTTTGTTGCCCATGCTGGTCTCAAACTCCTGGGCTCAAGCAATCCTCCCACCTCAACCTCCCAAAGTGCTGGGATTATAGGGATATTCTTACCATGGATCCAGGACTCATGCACCTTGGTATTTGTCCAAAGGAGTTGAAAAATTATGTCCACAAAAAAACCACACATAGATGTTCACAGAAGTTTTATTCATAATTGACAAAACTTGGAAGCAATCAAGATACCCTTCAGTAGATGAGTGGATAAATAAACAGTGATCCATCCATACAACAGGATATTATTAAGTGCTAAGAAGAAATAAGCTATCAAGCCACCAAAAGACACTGAAAAACCTTAAGTGCATATTACTAAGTGAAAGAAATGCATCTGAAAAGGTTGCATTCTATATGACGTTTTGGGAAAGGCAAAACTATGGAGACAGTAAAAAGATAAGTGGTTGCCAGGGGTTGGAGGAGGAAGGGAGGAACAGGTGGAGCACAGGGGACTTTAAGGTAGAGAAACTACTCTGTATGATACTACAGTGATGGACACATGTCATTGTACATTTGCCCAAACCTACAGAATGTATAACATGAAGAGTGAGCCCTCATGTTCACTCTGGACTCTGGATGATGATGGTATGTCAATGTCGGTTCATCCATGTAACAAATAGACCACTCTAGTGGGAGATATTGTTAATTGGGGAGGCTGTGGGTGTAGGGGAGCAGGGAGCATATGGGAAATCTCCATACCCTCTGTTCAATTTTGCTGTGACCCCAAAACTGCTCTGAATAAGGTCTATTTCAAAAAAAAATTTCCTCAGAAGCTTTTATGAATAGCTCAGAAGATCTCTACTGCACAGGATAATTATTGCAGTTGATAAAAATTTCATTTAAGTTTGCAACTCTGCAAGGTTTCATTTTGGCAAATCAACATTTTGCATCAGTAATGCATATTTCTTTACACTTCATTTATTAGTGTTATAATTTTGCAAAGATTTCCAGTAGAGCATTTATTTGATCACGTATGCATACATATGTATATGTGTGTGCCCACATGTATGAATGCATGTGTCTGAATTTGTACATGTCTTTAGAAACACATACATACATGTGTGCCCACTGTATTAGATCTCTGTTGGTCACTGGCTATTTACATAAAAATTTTCTCTGTCTCGGTTGTGGTAAATGGTAGTAGTAAACAGAAATCAGGATGTGTGAATTAGGTTATGTGTAACCATTTGCCATTTGCACTGTAATTAATTTTATAGTCTATGCATCAACAGTATGTAAAACACCCTGTCTGATTGTTCCTTGAAATCTAGGGCTTCTGCTCTGTGACTCCTGACAGTGGGACTCCAAATCTGTTAACAAAGTGGAACAGGAAGTCCTGGCCAGGGCAATGGGACAAATACTTGGGTACAGGAGCACTTAGACCAGTCCAGGCCACTTCCTGTGCAAGTCTGGGAACTGCATTCCTTCACGTGCTTTGTCTACCTGCTCTCCTTCTCTGAAGGCAGGAGAGAGAGAGAGAATCAGTCTGCAAGAGAGGAATCCTCTGTAGACACATGCTTCAATGATTCCCAACCTTAAGGAGTTCAGTGGCTGATTCATGCATGTATTTGGAGGCGCCTTATCTAATTATAACTACATGAGTGTAACTGTCTTCTTTCAGCCAATGTGCCTATCCAAGTTTCCATCTCTGTATCTGCTCTAACAGCTCTTTCTAAAATAACTTTCACCATCACATACAAGTGCTCACTTTGAAACCTGATTATTAAGTCCACAGAGTACTAGCTGATATATTTGCTATTTCCCAATTGGAGTTCTGTTCAAGATATCATTTCATAGCATTGCGGTTTGTTTTGATGGGAAAGTGGGAACATTTATTTGCTTTGTGAAGTGAGAGGAGGCACCTAAATGCAAGATACATCTGATAGGATGTATCAGGGGAACACAGGGGGAAAAGATCCAATAACAGTTATAAATAGTAGCTGCTATTTGTTGATCATCTAACATACATCAAACTCTGTGCCATGGGCTTTGCACACATTATCATAATCATACCAAAGACTGTATAAGGAGGGCTGTGTTGTTTCCCCTATATGAATGAGGAAACCGGGACTCAATCCTTCTTGGCTATGAAACATATTTTTCGTTTTCTTTTCTTTTTCTTTTTCTTTTTTTCTTTTTTTTTTTTTTTTTTTTGAGACAGAGTCTCACTCTATTGCCCAGGCTGGAGTGCAGTGGCGCGATCTCAGCTTACTGCAACCTCTGCCTCCTAGATTCAAGCTATTCTCCCCATTCAGCCTCCTGAGTAGCTGGGATTACAGGAGCGCTCCACCGCACCTGGCTAATTTTTGTATTTTCAGTAGAGATGGGGTTTCACCATGTTGGCCAGGCTGGTCTCAAACTCCTGACCTCGGATGATCCACCTGCCTTGGCCTCCCAATGTGCTGGGATTACAGGCATGAGCCACTGCACCTGGCCCATATTTTTTTCAAAGGAGGCTTTAGACATAGAAAATTTGATACATGGATTCAGATTCTCAGAGTTTAATGTGGATTTTGGAAAATCATTCCTCGACTTTGTTTTTTCCCACAACTCTTTTGTATTTAAAGTTTCTATTGGATCTGATTTTACAATTTTACTAAACAATGTACCTTTATTGTTTTCAGTGGAGCATGGGGTTAAGAGTGTGGATCTAGAATCAAATTTCCTGGCTTTCAGCTCTGACCATGCCACTTCCCTGCTCTGTGACCTTGGGCACAGCAACTGGTTTCTCTGTGCTTTCATGTTCTGGTCTGTAAAATGGGTAATTATGGCTAGCACCCTCCTCACTGAACTGTGATGAAGGCGAAACGAGCCCACGTGAGCCACGTTCTCAGAACTGCATTTGGTATGTGGTAAGCAACATGTTAGGTAGGTTATTTTTACTTTAATTCACCGTTCCTTCCAAGCTACTGGAATGTCCCTCTTCCAAATGTAAATGTGAACAAGGAAAAACACGTTCTTTAATACATGCGTTGTTGCATTTTGAATGTTCAGTTGCCATTGAGAACATATCCCTTTGTTATGAAAGGAAGTACTAAAGAAAAAGAGCCTGTGGTCCTAAAGGGCCCCTCAATCTCAGACACAGCTGATAAGCTGGATTATCTCATCAAGGTTGTGAGAGGAATGGAAACAACAGGAGTGTCCAGGGCCATTTCATTGCTCTTGTTAAATACGATGAAAATTGACCAAGTAGTAGCCC
This sequence comes from Homo sapiens, assembly GCF_000001405.40. Taxonomy (NCBI): domain Eukaryota; kingdom Metazoa; phylum Chordata; class Mammalia; order Primates; family Hominidae; genus Homo; species Homo sapiens. Next base: position 8,586,635 of record NC_000010.11, read on the forward strand.
ATGGCAATAGGTTAGTCAAACTAAGACTTGACTAAGAGGCTGATCATAATAATGTAATGAGAAAAATGAGCAAGACATTTGAATGGCAAGGTTGTGTGGGTGGCAGGCTTGTCGTTGAGGTAACTGATGTTATAACTTTATTGCACTCTTATTTCAGTCAAGTGAAATATCTCCATGACAAGCCAAGACAGAGCTCTGCAACAATAGACACTTACTGTTCTGTTCGTTCATTCTTTCTCTTTCATTCTTTCTCCTTTCTTTCTTCCTTCCTCCCTTCCTCCCTGCCTCCTTCTTTCCTTCCTTCCTTCCCTCTCCCTCTCCCTCTTTTTCTTTCTTTCTTTCTTTCTTTCTTTCTTTCTTTCTTTCTTTCTTTCTTTCTTTCTTTCTCTTTCTTTCTTTCTTTCTTTCTTTCTTTCTTTCTTTCTTTTCTTTCTCTTTCTTTCCTTTCTCTTTTTCTCCTTTTTTCTCTTTCTCTCTCTTCTTTCTTCCTTCCTTCCTCTCTTTATTCGTCGCTCTCTTTCCATTTCTCCCTCTTCTCTCCCTTCTTCCCTCCCCCCTCTTCCCATTCCTTCCTTCTTCACTTCCTCATTTCCTCCACTCCTCTTTTGAATTTTGGGTAATCAGCTCTTCTATTTTCTTACAATAAACAGCCATCGAAATGACTTTGGCAACACATGCATTACAGGCAGCGGCAAAACTGTAGGTTTTCATCTGCCACAAAGGTTAAAGAGCTTTAACTTTTCAATTGTCAGCTTTAACCTGACAATTCCTGTCAGCCCTGAATTGTGAAAATGTATGGTAGATAAATTGTCTAAATGCATTAAATCAATGTAAGTAACATGCAGATAATAGTGGGGAAAGTATGGCTACACATAACAAAGAAACATAAAAAAAATGACAAGTTGAATATAGTCTCCACTTCTTCATTAACTTTGTTTTGATGAATCTGTACCGACTTGTTAGAATTACCATTGCTGTAATATTGGAATGGTATAGTAAGAAAAACAGAGTGTAATTATTCAGTGCACTCAGAGACTTCTGAGACATCCTGCTTCATTTTTTTCTATAGAAGTCAGCAAATTCAACATCGAACATTCTGACAGGGAAGAAATAAATCAAACCAAACAAAATTTAAAAACCTAATGCAAGCAAATATCTTTTAATGTTTGTTTCTATTGCCTTTTCCTCTATGATGATCTCACCTCTCAGTTTTTCCTTGTTTAGAAAGTATTTTAAATGAATTAAGGAGAGTCACAAATGAGATGTCAGAGCAAATTCTTACATCAGAAGTAATTATTTACCCACCTCCGAACTCCCTCAGATGTTGAACTACTCAAAATCTGATTTATTTCTATCCCAGTCATCTTAGGAACTTGTGATCTTACTTTTCTGAGCAATCACATAGGATGTATTTATTGCTTTAGTTATTACTTAAGACGTATAACCCTCGCATGTCAGGTTTTTTTCTTTTGGGGCAAAGATTTTCTCATGTGTAAATCTCATTTACTGGTGAGATGAGAAGTCTGGACTGTATCTTATGCTGATGTTTCTCCTTGCAGCAGTCTCCTACATATAATAATAGGCTTCTCAATAGGTCTCTGCCGCCTGATGGGTGGTGTATGCCTTGACCTCTTTCTCACGTGAGTTTGTACCCAGCAACAGCAGGACAGCTTCTCATTGGCAGGGGCTGGGTGGTTGCTAGTAACTAAACTTTTTTTCTGTCAACAAAAGGAGGAGGCAATGCTGGGCCCCATTTGGGATTCAGCCCTCCTGTTGTGCTAATAATGTGATGTGTCATAAACTGGGCTATTCGCAAATTCACATGAGGAGCAATCCTAGGTTTGTTTTCCTTGTGAACCCAGGAGAAATGACATTCTTGTCTGTAAATTCTCACCAGAGTTACACATGACCTTGTTCACACTAGGGCATGGTAGGGCTGAGGCTAGAAAGATGAGAAGAGAAGAAGAAGAAGATTCTTGGATTGTGGTTCTGGTCTCTCTTCCCTCTCTCCCATAGCCAAATCCCGGCAAAGGAGAAAGAGGCAGGCATAACTCGAGGGTGAAAATTTATGTTCACAATGAATGAGGCTCTCGGGAGGTCTAAAAATGTACCCCTCTGTCTAGAGAGAGGGGAAAAAATTGGAGAGGCAGCTATGTCTTCTTTTATTCCCCATTTGGAAACAGAGTTAAATCAATGCAATTGACTTCAACCCATGAATATCATGTGTACATTTTTCCAGACTCTTAATTTTAAAGCCAGTGTTTGGAAATGTTCAGTGATGACATACAGGTGACATATAAGCAAATGGCCAAGGTTGACTTTATCATGGAGTTTTCAGGTCACCTGCTAACCATTCCAAGTATCTGATTCCAAAGCAAATAGATCTGATTCCAAAGTGAAATATCGTATAGCTCTTAGGATCTCCTCTGGGGCATTTAAGCTAAGTAAAAGGACAAGAAATGATCTACTGCACAGGATACCACTGCAGTCAAATCACTAAAATTTCTGGAGATGAAAATTTTATTTCATTTCTTTGGCATTAAATCATTCATAATGGCTTTTCTCTTGTGAAGTTTTATGAAAATGGCAACTACTTATTCAGATATGCAGATAAAACTCTAGTAATTTCTATTCTCTGCATAATCGTTACTAGGTCTTTCTGAGATATTGATCAGCTTCACTCATCTGAAAATACCTGACAGCTCCTGTGAACATAGTCAGCTCCCTGGGCCTCAGTTTCTCCATTTGGAAGAAGGTGATGTGAAACTATTGATTTATTAAATATTACTATCTTTTTCATTCATAAAAACAGAGAATTACTATGAGGAATGCTAGTAACAATTTATTCAGAAGACTTCTCTGGGCAAAGTATCTAGAATATTAATTCCATATTGAGAGAAAAATCTGTTCATCTACACCCCACTACCTCCACTTTATGCATATTTGGTAGAGATGGGGAATGAGAAGCCGCGTTTGACTTATGAGACCTATTAGTTTAGAGAAACTTGTATTACATGAAATTTTTATGAACTGACCTCCTACTTGTACTGATGCTGTTTTTTAAACTTGTTTATTATGCAAACTAGTGGATAAAAGGCTTGGATGATTTCACGTTCTCTATAATAAATCAGAGTTATTAATCACCGAGGTGTGTGGTATAGTTGGTTGCAGTTTTCTCAATCAAAGGGTGAAACAAAATAATTTTTATATGCTATTTTTGTAGGCATTTTTGGCTCTATAATGAATAGTATTTTCAATATAAAAATAATAATTCGACAAAAAAGCAGTATATTTTTGTTACTGTGCTATTTCATCTCCCTCAAAGCAATCTATGTTACAAGCTCTTATCTTTAGAAGTTGCATTCTTGCAAGGCTATTCTGCAAGAATACACTTTGCTTAGACTCAAATCCATATGACATATTCAATTCATTATGTTGGGCTTGACATTAAAAAATGTCAAATAGCTATTGGATAATTACATATCATCAGAAGATAATTTTTTTCCTTTAGCTTAACATTATTTAACAATTTTTTGACTGCTATGTTTGAAGTTCTTGAGTTACAATTTTTAACCTAGATACTCCTCTAAAGCTTTTGAGATGGCTTTTGAAAATGTTTGTGAACCAGGTACGGTGGCTCATGCCTGTAATCCCAGCACTTTGGGAGGTCGAGGCAGGTGGATCATTTGAGGTCAGGAGTTTGAGAGCAGCCTGGCCAACATGGTGAAATCTTGTCTCTACTAAAAATACAAAAATTAGCCGGGCATGGTGGCACACACCTGTAGTCCCTGCTACTCGGGAGACTGAGGCAGGAGAATCACTTGAACCCAGGAGGTGGAAGTTGCAGTGAGCCGAGATCATGCCATTACATTCCAGCCTTGGTGACAGAGTAAGACTCCATCTCAAAAAAAAAAAAAGTTTTTATAGTACTTGAGTGTTTAAATGGGACACCAACTACTGGTTATTGTACTAATCTATATCTACATAACAGAACTCAGAAAGTCTCTAAGGAGAAAGATCACCATGCTTCTTGGAGCTATGCAATGAAGACTCCCTTCTCTATTCTTCTTGGGTATTTTGTGTTGTCAGCATTAAATTTGTTCCAATTAAACTTAAACTGGATTTCCCAAACTTGTTTGATCCTCACCTGGGGTGTCTTTAAAAAATGGAGTGCTTAAAAAACACCTGTGTTCAGAATTTTCATTAGAGAGTTTGTTCTTTAGGTCTAGGCAGTGCACAGGAGATTCTTAGGATCAAGCAGATTTGAAAATAGTGTCATTGAGGAAAGCCCAGAATCAGCTAATTCTGTATGAGGATCTCATTTCCAAGAATGTACTAATCAATTGAGTTGGGAAAAATAATTTTTAAAATAAAGAATGAAACATTCTACACAAATGCTATAAAACTGGAAGAAAATTCATCTTTCCTTTTGGTCCTTGCAGAACTGTAGCTTTTCAGGAGCATATCATCAATCTGCAGTATTAGGAACTACGAGACCATGCAACGTTGATTCTCCTTACAGTTGCTATCAATGAAACAATCCCAGACTGGCTGTTAAAATGACCAAATTCTCTCTTTCACCTGCCTCATGGTCCAGGTGTCTGGCAGAAAGAGACCCAATGACCATTTTGAATTTCAGTTGACGGTACTCATACTTCATTTATTACTGATAATATGGGCACTGTCTGGGAGTGTTTGCAGAATTTTCAATCACTTGTAAAATTCTGGGTTATGGTGGCTACGGGTGAAAATGGCTTATATCTACATGGGCGACTTAGTGAATATGGAACTGTTGTTCTCAACTCTCTTTAGCCCTTCATTAGGAAATCATGGACAAGCTTGTTTTTCTTGCCTGGGTTTACCACAGCCAAGCCCACGTGACTGGAGATGAAACTGCCTTCTTTAAAGCACACCAAAAAAGTTTACTGTATGTTTTCTTCTCAATTTTCACAATTTTATTGGTCTTTAATAAGCATTTTCTCAAGAGCTTGGCAGTTTCCAAATGTTTTAAAATCATTTTTTACTAGCGGCTTCCACGACACACCTGTGGAGTGGGTCTGTGCTCTCAGTCATGTTTTTATGGGACGTGTACGAGCAGAAATGCAAAGAGGAGAGACAGAATCCCATTTTTAAACTCGGTGCCTTACTTTAACCCACAGGGAGAAAAGGGAGGACTTGCCTGCTTCTTCATGTTTGATGTGCTATGAGCAGCTTCAGTGATGTGGTTTCAATGAGCAGGTGCTTTCATTTCATTCTGTTTCTACTAAAAAACCTCCTCAGAAACGCAATTTATGATAAGTTTGGGAAAGTCGATTCTCCAATTCATAAGGGTGAATGTATTGCTTAAAACCTAAACTAAACAACTCCAAACTTTAAAAAAACTACCATGTAATTCTGGTTGTTGGGAATAAATCCCACAATATGATTTTTCAGTGCAGATAGGTGACAAATTAGCATAATGATATAATGACTTCTGTACATCTATCCTTTACACGAAAGGTGTTTAATTTACTGAAATACAAGCTCGTGATTAAGTTCTAAGAATTTTCGTTACTAACTTTCTGATTCTTCAGCCCCCTTCCTAGAAGCAATCCTTTATGTTTGGCCTATTTAAGCTCTCACAAAAACTATTTATCACAATTCTATGTGAGTTCTGAATATTTCTTTATTTAACCATCTCCAACTTAAAACTTTCTTTAGTCACAATTGCATCATTTATTGGGCATTTGAAAACTTGAGTTTGAAGACCTAATAACCGCTTAATTCCCTTCTTTCTTTTACAACACTTCAGATACATTGTTGTTAGGAAACAGAGCTATTAACTCTAAATTAGTTTAAAAAAAACCTAAATAAGTAGCTCCTCTAGTAAAATTTATAAGCTTGTAGAAAGCACAGATAGTCTGTCTTCTCCAATCAATATTTGAATTAAGTGGTAGTAGTTTTTTGCTCATTAAAAAATGTTTTCAATAAGAAGCAATGTTTTGATAAATGGAGGGGAAAATTCAAATTACATAAAGCTTTATAAAATTATTTTCATTATCATATATTTATTTTTAGGAGTCTGACTTTGTTACAAAATTCTGTTATTTTTGTGATGTTAAAAGTTGAATTTATTTTTGCCTTAGTTAAACTAAATTTAAAACTGCTTTTTATGCTTTGTTTTTTATGTATAAGGTTAGAAAACAAACAGTCCAGCAAATGAGAGTCCAACATCAATAAAAAATTTCCAATATGTATAATTAATAAATATTGAAAATATTTTTATTTATTGTTAATAATTTGTTGAGAAAATGAATTATTTTTATCAGAGCAAAAATAAAAATTCATATTTAGAAAAATTTCATTTCTCTTTTCCTATTCATCTAGTCCATAGGTCAAAAGCAAGCAAAACATGTATTTTGGGGAAATATACAATTATGTGTATGAATTATGCTTTTATATAAAGGTAAAATATAGGACAAAATAGGTTAAAGGAATTTTTGAATTTTTAAATGCAATTACACATATTATTCATATATATTAGTGTATCTTACTTACTTTGTGTCAATAATATTTTTACTTACTTCACACATTGTGAAGGTTTTATATTTATCTCAAATTATGAATTTCAGAATGATGCAATAAAAGTTGACCTACATTTTAGAAATTATTTTACTGAATAACTTTTGATGGTGACATTTTAAGATAAGATAATTCCAGAGAAACACCAATAAACTAAACTTTCTTAAAAGGAAGTTGGTGAGGCTTTAATAAAGTAAATAGAGGCAAATTCATTCCATGATAACTTTTAGATCAAGTATACTGTACTGAGATTAATTGTTCTTTTTTGTCTCTCTTTTAATTAATATTAATTATCATCATCATCATTCAAAATTTGACATTGCTAATATGTTGTCTTTTCACAGAACTTTCCTTGTACATCAAAGGATGGGCCGAGGGTGCTGTCAACCAATTCTCTTCCTCCGATCTCTTCAAACGCAGAGTCGCCCAGGCTCTGACAGTTTTGATGCATGGATAAGGACCGGTTACTTTGCATTTTTTTTAATATGGCAGAAAATTCGAACTCATATTTTAACAATAAACACTGAAATAATGGGCGATATTTCTTTACATTGCATTGAGTGGAGAAAGAATGAGAGAAAGAAAAATGGAAGTAATCTTCGACCTTGTAGAAAATGGGTGAGTTCCCTGGAACTAGGATCGGCTTTTACAGCATCCTCCTCAGCCCTTCCTTGTACAGTGCAGGATTTTAGCTTTAAGGTAGAGATTTCTCCCAATATCATAGGATCTAATCGTTCAATCCATCATTCAAGAATGACAACAATAAAGATATAATTAGCCGTCATTGTAGTCAAATTTACTACACTTCCTAGTAGGGAGCACATTTGTGTTTTTAGTCCCTTTGAAACTCAGGTCCAGTCTATAAGCGTGGATTGCAGGCAGATCTTCAAGACGAGTGATTATTTTCTAGGTCAAAGGGATGGGTCTTGGAGAGTTAGTTTACCTGCAGTAATAAGCCCGATGGGACAAATCCAAAACGCGCTAACCCTGTACCTAAGGAACCCGGAATGGTGAGTGTAACCGAGACCCATCTGGTAGCAGTGATTCAACACACACCTCAACGGCACTACCCCAGAAAGAAACATGTTGAACCCTTCCAGAAACTCATTCTCAAGGCATGCACATGCAAACAAAGAGAACCCCAAGACTCACAGTTCATTTGAATTCACAAGGGAAAATTTTCGGGATGATTGTTGCTTTGACGTTGTCTTACTGTTGCAGAAGGAAGTCAAACCTGTTTTTAATTGCAAAACCAAATGGTTTATGCATGGGCTCTGCCATGCTTGTGTGAACATGTCGCTTTTATAACCCCCTCCCCCCTCCACGAACACGAGACTAGGCTTGCCAGCATTGTGTTTGAGCATGGTCACATTTAAAATGAAGAGCCTTGCAGGGGTTTTTGAAGGTGAGTGGGTGGGGGGGATGTCAATCTGTCAGAGATGTCACCTTAAGTGGATCTATCTGCCTATATGTTACCACTTGCTAATTATGGATTTGGGTGATAATTGTCATAAGCTTTGCCACAAAATGTGCAATAAAATGCATTTTCTGGGGGCAGAGGGTGATGTGAGGAGCGGGCCGAAGCTAGGCTCTAAGGGCTGGTAATCTACAGATTGAAAGCCTGTAGGATTGTGCTGTAGGATTGTCTCACTGTTTAATGTTCAAATGAATACACATATTGTTGTGTGTGTCGGGTTGCTTTAGGCAACATTGCTGGCATTCCATTTCAGGAACTATGTGTGTACGCAGAACTGAGTCTGTAGAGAAGTTTCTCTTCACATGGCCATAAGCGGCCTTCAGGAGTACTGTCTCCTTATGAGTGCTGTCCTGGAGAGGGCTAAGAAACAAGATCAAATAAATGGCAGATAAAATAAGGAGCTTCCTTGTGTTTGTAGGTAGCAGCCAATCATATCAAAGCTCAATCTTGGAAAAACTTTGAGATGGGTCTTAAATATTTGTTGTTCCAAAGATTACTTACAGATAAGGAAGAGAAAAGCCAGAGAAAAAGGCCAGTGATGTATGAAGGAAATCTATGTTTTTTTGCAAAGCATCAGCAATAAAAGGTATAACCTAAAAATAGTTTCTGCTTCTGTGTTCAGTCCTTGAAGCTATTGCCACCACCAGCCACTTGTTGATTCATTAGTTGTCATTGTTTCTTCATCTCTGCCCAAACTCTGATCATTCTTCCCTCATCTGCTCTCATCTGCACACGCATGCATACACACACGTGCACACACACACACATGGCCCTTACTTTGGTAACGTAAGTCCCAGTGTTGAGTTTAAGAAGTCCACTCTCTAGCTGGTGAATAAATTGGTGTCTTGTTCTGATATTATATGAAAGACGGTGAGTTGAGTCTTCTTATGGGCAGGGATGATGCCTTGCTTATCCTTCACCCTCAAAGTTGGTGTCCACTAAATACTGAGGAAGAAAAGATCCCTCCTAAAAATGCCCTTCTCTGAGAACTATTATTTTCAACTAACAGAGGTTGAGTACCTGGAGATCAGGGTCTCACTGGACAGTGATGTTTATTAGTCTTTGATGCAATTAAGCAAGTGGTTTTGGCCTGATCTATAAAAGGAAACCTGGCCTAAAGGAGGTGAAGTCTCTACCTGTAAGTGATCTGTGCTCAGATTCAGACCACAGAGTCTAAGCAAATATACTGGACATTCTCTACCGATACATATGCACAGTTAGCAGGCCAAGGGTTAGTAGTGACTGTTTTGTTCAACTCCAAAAGTATAGGAATCATGTGCTCTCAAAGCTGGCACTTAATACAAGTTCCTGGGTCACCTATCCCTTTGCCCCCTTTGCTCACTGCCTGCCCTTGTGCATAGACTGTCATAGGGATGGATAAACACAGTCATGTGCACACTCTTGCTTATGCTTTCCTTGTAGCCTGGAATGCCTACCCCTTACTTCTCATAAAAGACCAGCAGTTCTTTACTTATTTCAGGGTCCAGCTCATCCATGGACTCTTCTCAATCCGAGAAGCAGGGTGCATCATAATAGTGCTTTGACCCACTGATTTCCTTGGCTCAGGTTCAGGAGCTGGTGCTTGACAACCTTCTCTGGTCTTTGTTGCTTCTAATCTATTCACTCAGAAGATGTAACACCAATGTAGAACCTAAAATATATTAACCTCCCTGAAGGCAGGGATAACAATGATAAAGTCAGTTATGTATTATGAATCAACAAACTCTGTGGAAGATGTTACAGAAATGACATGCGTATTTCACATCAGGGTGCTATTATTACACGTTTAATAAAATGAAGGAATTAAAGCTCAGATAACTTGAATGGTTTGGCTGGAGGCATTTGTTAGAAGCCAAACTGGGACTCAGATTCAGGTCTGTAAAACTTGACACTGTCATTTATATGCTGCATTTCCCTTTGAGAAATGCACTATGAGAAGGAAGAAGAGGCTTGTCGGTTGCCAGGGCATGTTAGGTAGAATTAGATTATTTGCCCTTGTATTTAGTCCAGTGGGATAATGAAGAGACAACAAAACAGTTCTGTCTTCTACAATTAGACACTAGGGGGAAAAGGATTTTATTTATTGTACACGTGTGAGGAGGTGTATGAAGGGTGGAAGGAGGTGGGCACTGGGAGGATGAGATGTCATTTAGTCTGTGAGTGACTGTCATCTGCAGGGGCCTGTGTTCAGGGTCTGGACATAAGATGAAGGACGCAGTTCCTTGTCTTCATCATCCAAGAGCTACTTAATAGACCAGTGAGAAAGAGAAAATGTAGGAACAAAGCCAAATGGAATAAAGAGTGCTTTTTAGGGAAGCTCACCGAGATCTTGGCGAACACAGAGGAAGCGGACTTAGCCTAGCCAAGGTGTGGGATGTCTAGGGAATGAGGTAACAGGTATGATAGATCCGAGTCTCTAGCACAGTGGGAATATAAGTGGCCTGGCTTCCCAAACACATAAGTCCCCTGTGCCAAGCAGTGACTCATGACATGCAGGAATAAACTCCAACAAGAAAGGGGTACCTCAGAAACACATTGCTCATAGGCACATAGAATGTGCCAACCAGGGATGGCCACATGATCTGCAGACCCAGAGCAAAACAAAAATGCAAAGCCTCTTGTTCAAAAAAGCAGGAGAAAAGTTCTGTGAAAGGCATTATAAGACAAAGCTTTTTCTTTTCCTCCAGGAACTCACCCTCTCTCGAGAGTCATGGTGTTTCCTATTTGCTGTTTAATACCATTCTTGGTAAAGAAAATTTAAAATTGTCAATTATTAGTATGGATTTCACCACTCATTTTAATATTGTATGATGCTAGTTTTGCATGAAATTATAAGAGCATTTAACTAGTATGCAAAATGACTGAAATTACACAATGCATGTTTTGTAGCTCATGTATGCATATGCGGTTGTTACCAGAACAGAGGAAGCACTGCACAGAACTAACTCATATATATATATATATATATATTTTTTTTTTTTTTGAGACGGAGTCTCACTCTGTCACCCAGGCTGGAGTGCAGTGGCGCGATCTCGGCTCACTGCAACCTCCCCCTCCCGGGTTCAAGTGATTCTCCTGCCTCAGCCTCCCGAGAAGCTGGGATTACAGGCACGCGCCACAACACCTGGCTAATTTTTGTATTTTTAGTAGAGACGGGGTTTCACTATGTTGGCCAGGATGGTCTCAATCTCCTGACTTCATGATCCACCCACCTTGGCCTCCGAAAGTGCTGGGATTACAATTTCACTTCTTGATACATGCCCCTTCTAGCAACACAACACACTGATCTTGTGCTCTCATCGAGTCTCTCTGAATTCCTACACACTGTGGGTCATGGGGCAACACAAATGTTTGACATGAATAAGGTGACAAGGAACAGAGGAAGCATATGTTGTGTGTATTTTTGCTGCTCATGCCTATTCCCCATTGTCTTACTGGATGTGACTTATAAAACATTAGAAAAAGATAAAATTATTAAGAGTTTCAAGACAGTGAGAGCAGAGCACTAAATCAAGTGCAAGATCCTCTGAGCCTGGGGGTCTGCTGGTTCTGCACAGGTTGCAAGCTCACACATCCAGCCTTGCTGTCAACACAATTCCATCCCTGACAACAAAGCAAGGTCAAAAGATCAAACACGAGTTCTCTGCTCTGTGATGCTTGGGCTGAGAGATCGCCTATCCTTCATCCTGCTGGAAATCCAAACCAGGAATATAAAACTGATATTCATCAGGAAGGATACATCTACGCTCACATACGCCAGCAGGAACTTGAGCAGGGACCCAGCTGATTTGACTTTCCTGCTCATCCTGTAGGTTTTCTGCACTGGATGGCTTGATTTTTCCTCTTTGTTAATAATAGGGTCAAGGCCGGTCAGGCACTGTGGCTCATGCCTGTAATTCCCGCACTTTGGGAGGCTGAGGCGGGTAGATCATCTGAGGTCAGGAGTTCAAGACCAGCCTGGTCAACATGGTGAAACCCCGTCTCTACTAAAAATACAAAAAAATTAGCCAGGCGTGGTAGCCGGCGCCTGTAATCCCAGCTACTCGGGAGGCTGAGTCAGGAGGATCGCTTGAACCCGGGAGGTGGAGATTGCAGTGAGCTGAGATTGTGCCATTGTACTCCACCCTGGGCAACAAGAGTAAAACTCTTAATAATAATAATAATAATAATAATAATAATGATAATAATAATAGGGTCAAGACCATATGCGGTGGCTCATACCTGTAATCCCAGCACTTTAGGAGACTGAGGCAGGCAGATTGCTTGAGCCCAAGAGTTCGAGACCAGCCCGGGCAACATGGCGAGACCCCGTCTCTACAAAAAATACAAAAATTAGCTGGACATGGTGGTACTTGCCTGTAGTCCCAGCTTCTTGGGAGGCTGAGGTGGGAGAATCGCTTGAGCTCGGGAGGTAGAGGCTGCAGTGAGCCAAGATTGTGCCACTTCACTCCAGCCTGGGTCCCCAAGCAAGAGCTTGTCTCAGAAAACAAATGAATAAATAAAAATAAAAATAGGGTCAAAAAAGAACAAAGGCCTTCTGGTTGTCTGCATACCTGGGAACTAGGAAGACAAGATGAGGATACTGGGGAGTGATGGGGAGAGAAGGACCATGAACGTGCTGCGTTGCTTTGCTTTCCGCACGCGACCACACACACCAACTTGGATATGTTGGTTTTCCTACTGTGCTAGTCCGTAGTCAGTTTAGTTTTCTTCTGGTCAATCATTCTTTTTCATTTTATGCCCCAGTATCTTGTATGCATTTCTTCTGAGCATCAAAACTCTTTGGTGCTCAATTCTGAGTTGATTTATCCTTGAAAATCCCCCATTTTAGTAAATGTTCCTCATTCTCTTTTAATGCAATTTTTCTGGAACATGGATTGTTCTGATTTTATTTGTCACTGGCTTCATATTTTACATTTTGAGAGATAGCAGACTATAATATTATTAGTAATAAAATATTTCTTAAATATTTATTAAATGCTTACTATGTGCCAGGTACAGTGCTGGGCATTTTACATCTATCAACTCATTTTGATGTTTATAGAAACTTTGTGAGGTTGGTATTATTGTTGAAACCGTTTTAAGGGCCTGGGTTCTTCAGCCAGGGTTGGAATCCTGGTTCATCCATTTACTAGCTGGGAGGCTATGGGCAACCTAACCCCCTGTATTAGTCCATTCTCATGCTGGTAATAAAGACATACCCAAGACTGGGTAATTTACAAAGGAAAGGGGTTAAATGAACTCACAGTTCCACTGCGAGGCTGGGGATACCTCACCATCATGGTGGAAGACAAAGGAAGAGAAAAGGAACATCTTACATGACACAGGCAAGAGGGCATGTGCAGGAGAACTGCGCTTTATAAAACCATCAGATCTCATAAGACTTATTCACTATCAGGAGAACAGCACAGGAAAGACCCGTCCCCATGATTCAATTACCTCCCACCAGGTCCCTCCCATGACATGTGGGAATTATGGGAGTTATAATTCAAGATGAGATTTGGGTGGGGACACAGCCAAACCATATCACTCTCTGTGTCCTGGCTTCCTCATTGAATTCAAGTGAATTGCTTGAAATATACTTAGAATAAAAGCATCAGCATATTTACAACATGAACTATAACTCTTCCTCCAAAGCACGTTAATTCATAGCTGATAATTTCAGGTCCTGGACTTTGCAGACACCTTTTCAGCCTCCATCTTTGACTCATCCTTTTGTCATCTCAAGACCTCATTTGCTCAGAATTCACTCGCAACGGGCTGGTTGAGTCATCTAATTGAATGGCAGAAAACCACTGTTTCCACACCCTCAAATTTATTTTATTAAGTACAAATACATATCAAATTCATTACAAATGAACTTTTAGAATTTGCAAACAGCCTCATGAGAGTGATACTCACAACCTTGATGGAGAGTATGTATTCAAAATATACCAACAGCTGTATAAAAATTATAATAAATAATCATCTCCTAGAAATCAAAGGTCTTGGTTTGGGTACAAGTTCAACCAGTATTCAATTATGTGACTTTGTATCTATTATCCCACTATCCTCACCTGCAAAATGAGAATAATGTTTTCTATTTATTTTTCAGAAATAGTATGAATCCAAGGAGATAAAGTATGTGGATGAAACTTTGCAACTTAGAAATCAGTAAGACTATGATAGGTATTATTATGATCACCTGTTATAATCTACATATACAAAACAAATTGAAGATATGAAAGGATTTTTTTCTGTCATTCTACCATCTGAAATATTGATTAGATGTCTAGAATGAAGAAGTGCTTTAGAACTATTTCTGGCTTGTATTTTCTCAATAAAACCACAATTCTCTATTTTACCTCATATACACTATTACCACCTGTTATATTTACTTCTAGAGTCTAGCTTAATGGTTTCTATGAAGAAAAAGACCTGGAAATGGATTCTAAGTTCATCTTAAGCAAAACCTAACTTGCTTTTCTTTACAAAATACAAATTCCATTTAGTTGTTAGTTTATTCTTTCAAGAAAGGATGTTTAATCTAATTGGCCCTTTTAGAGTTAAGATTCTTTCCCCAGAGGGCAGAGCAGCCCTTGCTTTATCTTTAGTCCACGAGTTACACAAAATCATAAAATCGCAGCAGTACAGCTTCTCTGAGGCCTTTTATGACCCCTAAAGGGAAGTCATCTCTGTACAGTAGTGATAATAACAGTATCATCTAACAGCCGAATACTGCTTTATTTCACTGTGCACTATGGCTTGGATGTGGTGTCTCTGCCAAAACTGATGTTGAAATTTGTTTCCCAATGTGGCAGTGTTGGGAGGTGTGGCCTAGAGGGAGGTCATGGGGACAGGATCCTCGTGAATAAATTAGTGCTCTCCTTTGGGGTGAGTTCTCCCTTCCCTGAGAATGGATTAGTTTTTGAGAGCACGTTGTTAAAGAGTCTGGCTTCCTCAGTTTCTCTCTCTTGAGATGTCATCTCTGTACATGCCCACTCCTCTTCTACTTTCTGCCCTGAGCAGAAGCAGTCTGAGGCCCTCCCAAAAGCCAATCAGATGCTGGCGTCATGCTTCTTGTATTAGGTTGGTGCAAAAGTAATTGCAGTTTTTGCCATTGAAAGTAGTGGCTGTGCAACTCTCCAAGTGTGAAGTGACAGCCTTGTGTGTGATCTTTCTGCCCTCTCCAAGTTTGAATTTTCGACATTAAAGTTTACTTTTTAATTAAAAAAATAATAATAACCCCAGCCGGGCGCAGTGGCTCACGCCTGTAATCCCAGCACTTTGGGAGGCCAAGGCAGGTGGATCACCTGAGGTCAGGAGTTCGAGACCAGCCTGGCCAACATGGTGAAACCCCATCTCTACTAAAAATACAAAAATTAGCTGGGTGTGGTGGTGCATGCCGGTAATCCCAGCTACTCGGGAGGCTGAGGCAGGAGAATCACTTGAATCACTTGAACCGGAGAGGCAGAGGTTGTATTGAGCTGAGACTGTGCCACTGCACTCCAGCCTGGGCAACAGAGTGAGACTCTGTCTCAAAAAAAAAAAAAAAATCCTGTGTAACCCTGATGGTCTCTGGTCTATCTCATCTCTAAATTTTATTAACTTTTTTATTAGCTTGAGTTTCCCTTCATTCTATCTCATCTACCCGTACCTACAGGATATTGAGCAGGGGAAGAAAACATGGGTAAGAATGGATGGTCAGATGTTATGGGCGAAGGTAGATACTGTGAGATAGAATGGGAAGGGGGAAGTCAGGCTGAAATTATCATTTGGACAGTGGAGGATGCTGGGAAGAGGACGGCAGAAGATGGAACAGCAATCCACATGATGCAGAACAAACATGATAGAAGGAGATATCAGAGTATTGATTAGCAGAGACTTCACTCAAGAAAACAGTATAGGCAGAGCTGCTGGTGGTGGTGTTACAGTGCTTCCCAGGGTACTATTATGGACTTAGGGCTGCAATTTTTAGGTAAAACAATCTCTTCAGTATGAACATAAGTCACTCTCAAAGCACATATTTGTTTACTGATCCATTTGTTGTATGCCAAGTAGTTCTATGCAGAAACACTACTCGAACTTCAAATAAATTTGCAGATGTTGCTGTGTAAACATATCGTTTATTATATACACATCTCTATTTATACTTTAACCTTTCATTTGGCTGTAAAAGAGTCAATTGATCCTAGGCACCATGACAAGGCTATTCCCAGTAATGTTCTCCTGGGTAAATGCTAAGCCATTGACAAGTGCTCTCTGGATGCCTCTGTCTGGTTGGCTGTGCATCCCCTGAATAGTTGTGTGGTTTAGATTAGATCTCCCCAGTTTGTTGATGAGAATGTCAGGTAGGACAGAATCAAAGGCTTACAGAAGTCTAGAGAGATTACATCTATTGCATCCTTTTTATCTACAAGGCCTGTCACTCTATCATAGAAGGAAATTAAATTGGTCTGGCATGATTTGTTCCTCTAAAAGCCATGTTGGTTGCTACCCAGTCTGTTATGTTCTTCTGGGTGATTGCAAATTGATCATTTTGATGATTTATCTTCGTAACTTCCCTGGCACTGTGTTTTAGGCTGACCAATATTTCTTTTCCTTTCTTTTAAAGATTGACATTGTATTTACTTTTTTTCCTCTTCTTTAAGGATTTTCCCTGATGTGCATGACTTTTTTATTTCTTTATTATAATTGTTTGAGGTCTGATGCTATGTTCCAAAAAATTCATTTGCAAATTTTTATAATCTGTTATTTGATTAATTTTCAAAAATTGACTTATTTTAGCCTGTTTTCATTCATTTCCTCTACCCCTCTATTTAGTCACTTAGTCAACATTTATTGAGGACCTAGGAGCTGGGAAAACAATGATCAGATAAACAATGAATTAATAAGTCTCTTGCGAAACTAATAGTTAAGTGTGCGAGACATACAAATTAAAGAGATGACTATGATACAGTGTTGAAAGGACTGTAATGGGGTGAGTAAGATGGAACACCTAGAACAGGTATTTACCCCAATCTTGAGTACATCAGGGAAGGCTTCCTAGAGGAGGTGATGTCTAAACTGAGTTTTCATGGCTAAGTGCAAGTTAGCAGAAGCCAGATATGGAAAGTGATGGAGACAGAGCGCAGGACAGAAAGTAAGGCATTTCAAGCAGAGAGAACAGCATCAACAAAGGTATAGCTATGAGAGTGACATGGGTTAGGGGACAGCATGGCAGTTCAGCAGGACTAGAGGGAGACTTCTTATGTCAGACACGGGGTAGGCAGGCCTGTAATAGAGCTGGAGAATATGGCAGCGGCTGCTCATGAAGATCTTCAATGCCAACAAAATAAGCTTGGGCTTCGTCTTGAATGCATTGGAGGTATGTATTCAAACCTCATTCAGTGAATTTTTTGTTTAGTACCTATCCTTTTAATGAGATAGATTATCTTAAGGATCAGAAGATATAAAGAAATTTAGGATATATTCTTAACCCCAAAGTGCCTTGCAAACTACTCAAGGAGTGAGAACTTACAGACATAAAACAATTGAATTGCAATATAAGTATTTCGGCTAAAGGCCAAATAAGTCTTTCAGAGAAGAGTTTCTGGGAGTTCAGAGAGACCAATCTTTGAGGTTGGGTTTATCTATGTTAATTAAATTAATGACGAAGTAAGAAACATCTCTGGGTTTAATCACTTGGGTAGAATCAAAACAACATACACTCAAATTATAAATGACCCCATATTCCAACGATTGTTCACTACCAGCCACAAACTTTGTTTGCCAATATTCTTAGTCCTCATTGCCGTAGCAATGATTTTAAAACTGAAGGCAAGTGAAAAAAATGTTACTTCTTTTTTTTTTGAAAATGACACATTAAACAGCTCAAACCAACCCCCTGGCTGAGAAAAATTAGACTAGCTGGAAAAATATTCTAAAAAGTCTATTTGAATATATTGAAGAGATGACAAATTAGAGATAAATTACTAGACCAGGATCTTGAGGAAGATGAATGTTTAGGGCAATAACTAGAATATTTGGGGGTTTTCCTTTAACCCTGATGTTTTTTTCTCTTCCCTTCCAAGTATGGAGAGATTGAGTGGCACTTTTGACAATCTTTCAGGGCCAAGGCAACAGGTATTGATTAGCAGGACTCGCTCAAGCTATAGGTATGGGTGAACCATGCTTACTTTAGTTGAGACTCTGAGGGTTGTGTCCTAAGAATATGAATAAACAAACAGTAGGCCTTACAACTAGGGAAGCTCAGCTTTGGACCATTGCAACACTTAATATTAGAGTAAGGGTTTCCTGCAGTATTAGCGCTTCCAGGTATCTTGCACACTCAAGAAATATAGAACCTTTCTGAAGGAAGATAAAATAGATCTTGGTCTTAAATTTTGTCTAGAATAATCATAATATTAGGAAGCAAGACAATATGAAGGAAAACTTGCAGAAAGATCCAATAACAGAAAAAGACCTGTAGGATCCCCAGATACTGGAATATTCAAACATAAACAACAAAGGAGCTCCCCTATGTTCTATATTCAGGAAGATAAAAGATAATTAATAACTTTATTAGCGAACTAGAAAGTCTAACAAGAACTCACATGAAAATTCTGGAATTGAAATAAAGTAATTGAAAATGCGTATACACGGTTTTAATAGCAAATTAGATTCAGGTTAAATAGAAGATAAGATGCAGCTAAAAAAAAAGATTAAAAAGATTATGAATCAAGAAGCCCTATGAACTCCAAGCAGTATAACTAAAAAGAAAACCACACTTAAGTATATTATAAAAAATCTTACCACCAGAAGCCAGAAGGGGGGAAAAAGGCATACTGCTTTCAAAGGAGTAATAATGGGCTAATGACTGAATTCTCAATAGAAAAGAAAGCCAGAAGACAATAGAATAATATATTTAAATTGCTGCAAAAACCCCTGACAATCCAGACTTTTATACCTAGTGAAAGTATCCTTTAGGAATGAAATATATTTTAAGACAAAAATGATAATAATTCATTATTTGTTGACCAGCAGTAATGAAAATACTAAACATTTTTCTCTAATTAGATGGAAATTGACTCTACAGTGAGGTCAGAAATTAAGAAAGAAACAGAGAAAACAAGGTAGTCAATGGGAGTATATATTCAACATTGGCTGACTGAAATGATAGTTCTGTCTCATGAGTATTAAAATGTATGTAGAAATCAAATACATGACAACAATGTCATGTAAGTTGGGGAGGTGATAAAGTTAAAAGGTTTTCAGGTCATTGCATTGTCTAGAAAGAATTGTAACAATATCAATTATGTCAGACTTTGATAAGTCAACCACGCATAGTAGAATGTTTAATGTAACCAACAGAAGATGTGTAAAAGACAGTATATCTTGGTAAACTTGAAAACACAGCAATGGAAATGATCAAAAAGAAAACACAGAGACAAAGCTGAAAAAGAAAGCATAAAGGATCAATAGTCAGTGGGACAGTTAAAATATGCTAATATACATGCAATCAGAGTCTCTTATGAAGAGGAAGAGAGTGGGGGAAAACTATTTGAAATATAAAAGTAGAAAATTTTTCTAATTTGATAAAAACTATAAACCCAGAAACTTAAGAAGTGTAAGAAATCCTAATTATGAGAAACATTAAGAAAACAACCCCTAATCACATCACATTCAAGTTGCTGGAAACCACTGGTAAAAAGAAAATCTTAAAAGTGACCAGAGGAAAAAAATATAATTACAGAGAATCTGTGATAAGAATGATGACAAATTTCTGCTTAGAAACAATCCAAGTGAGAAGACAGTGGAGCAACAACTTCAAATTAATAAAAATCTGCCATTTTAGAATTCCATGTTCAGCCAAATTATACGTCAAAAACAAAGGCAAAATTAAGTTTTCTTCCAGACATAGAAAATCTGTAAGACTTTATTACTATCAGATCTGTACTATGGTGAATGCTAAAAGTAATCCTTCAAGCAAAAGGAAAATGATACCAGTCAAAAATCTGGATCTGTATCTCACAAACACACACAAATAATAAACACCAGAAATGTTAACTATGAGGATAAATTTAAAAATATTTTCCTGTTATTTTAATGTCTTTAAGATATAATTGATCAAGGAAGAAATAAAAATGTGTTGTATGATTGATAGCATATGTAGAAGTAAAACAAATGGCAACAACAGTAAAAATGGTACAAAGAAACGAGTAAGAGGACACTTGTAATGTTCTTGTATTTTAAAGGCAGCAGTATAGTATTACTTGAATTTAGACTGTGATAAGCTAAAGAGCCATGCTATACATTGTAGTGCAATCACAAAAACAAAACATCAAAGAGTTGTAGCCAATTAGTCAAGAAAGATAATAAAATTGAATAATTAAAAGTATTCAATCTAAAAGAAGGCAGGCTGAGCATAGTGACTCACACCTGTAATCCCAGAACTTTGGGAAGCTGAGGCAGGAAGACCATTTGAGGTCAGGAGTTCAAGACTAGCCTGAGCTACATAGCAAGACTCCATCTCAACAAAAAAATAAAAAATTAGCTGGGTGGTGGCATGTGCCTGTAATTCAAACTACTTGGGAGGCTGAGGTGGGAGGATAACTTAAACCCGAGAATTTGAGGAGAGCTGTGATCAAGTCACTGCACTCCAGCCTGGGCGATTCCGACTCCAGAAAAAAAAAAAAAAAAAAAAATTAGCCGGGCATGGTGGTGCATGCCTGTAATCCCAGCTACTTGGGAGGCTCAGTCAGGAGAATCGCTTGAACCTGGGAGGTGGAGGTTGCAGTGAGCCAAATTCACATCGTTGCACTCCAGCCTGGGCGACAAAGCAAGACTCCGTCTGAAAAACAAAACCCAAAAAACAAAAAAAGGCAAAATAAAAACAAAAGAAAAAGGAAAACAAAGAATAGATGATACAAGTAGAAAACAAATTAAAAAACAGGAGACTTAATCTTCCCATAGCAATAACCACATGACATGTAAATGTTATAAATACCCCAATTAAAAGGCAGTGACTATTAAGTAAGATTTTAAAAATCGAGACTCAACTGTATTCTGCCTATGTGAAGCCAACTTTTAACATAAAAACACAAATAAGCTAAAAGTAAAGTAATGGAAAAAAATTCAACATTAACATTAGTCAGAAGAAAATGAAAATGATTATGTTAATATCAGAAAGAACAAAATCCAGAATAAAGACTAAAGACTTAAAGAATAATTTTATAATGACATAAGGATCAATTTATGAAGATATAACATTATAAACATTTTTTGAACCTGTTGAAACCACTTCAAACTATATAAAGTACAAATAAATAAACCTGCAAAAATAAATAGATAAGTTCATAAATTTTAGTCAGATATATCAATTATTGATAGAATAAGTGGAAAAAATGAGTAAAATTGAAGGCTTTAACAGTACTAAGAATCCACTTTCACAGTCAACCAATCTACTTTATATTTATATAAAGTCAACTATATTTCTACAGTCAATGAATCAACCTAGTGACAGTTTCAGAAAACTCCACCAAATAACAAGAGAATACACATTGTTTTTTCAAGGGGCCTAGAACATATTTACTGAAAAGATCATATGCTGGAAATAAACACACTTTTAAAAATGTACAAGGATTGCAGTCATACAAATTATATTTTCTGACAGCATTGAAACTAAAAATGAACAGAAAGATCCTTGGAAAATTCTCAAGTACTAAGAAACCAAAGAATACACTCCTAAATTACTCTTGGGTCAAACAGAAAATCAAAAAAGAAATAGAAGAAACCTTTACTTTAATTAAAATGACAACGCAAGATATAAAAATTTGTGGGATGCCACCAAAGCGTAATTTAGAGGGAAATTTATAGCATTGAGCAACACATTAGAAAAGAGGAAAGATCACAGATCAGTGACCTTAGCTTCTAAATTAAGAAACTAGAAAAGGAAAAGGAAATAAAACTTAAAGTAAGCTCAAAATCAGAAATAAATCAATGAAACAAAAAAAAAATAGGAAAAAAAGCAGCAGAGAAAAATAAATAAAACCAAATGCTGGTCCTTTGAGAAGATTAATAACACTTACATAAACCTCTATTTGTACTGATTAGGAAATAAAAAGAGAAGACACAAAATATCCATATAATGAATAAGAAAAATGACATCTCTTTAGGTTCTACGTATATTAAAAGAAAAATAAGAAGACCTTATGAAACATCTTAAGTCATTAATTTTGACCTCTTCGATGAAAGAAACAAATCCTTACAAGACATAAACTACCAAAGCTCACTAATAAACAGATATATAATCTCTATATGCCTTTATTGGTTAAATAAATTGAATTTGTGGTTAAAAAATCTTCACCTTTAAAAATCCTATGGACAACATCATGCTTAGTGGTAAAACACTGATTTTGTTTCCCCCAAAGATTAAGCAAGGCAAAGACTTCCATTCTTAACATTTTGATTCAACATCGTAATGGAGGTTCTAGTCAATGCAATAGGCAAGAAAAGGGAAAGGCATTACTTTGGTAGAGAGAGAAACAGAGAGGACTCCGGTGACTGGTCTTATAAGGGCACTACTTTTATTGGATCAGGATGCCACCTGTATGACCTCATTTAACCTTAATTACCTGCAAATATAGTCACATTTGGAGTTAGAGTTTCAGCACATAAATTTGGTGGGGTTTGGGGAGAGACACAATTCAGTCCATAGCACCTAGGGTTAGACAAAATGTATTAGCTACAATGCCAACAGCATGATATATTAAAAAAAAAATAAACCATAAACTATCAAGGATCTAGAATCAGAAATGCCATTTGACCCAGCAGTTCCATTACTGGTTATATACCCAAAGGATTATAAATCATTCTACTATAAAGACACATGCACACTTATGTTTATTGAGGCACTGTTCACAATAGCAAAGACTTGGAACCAACCCAGATACCTATCAATGATAGACTGGATAAAGAAAATGTGGCACATATACACCAGGGAATACTATGCAGCCATAAAAAAGGATGAGTTCATATCCTTTGCATGGACATGGATGAAGCTGGAAACCATCATTCTCAGCAAACTAACACAAAAACAGAAAACCAAACACCACATGTTCTCACTCATAAGTGGGAGTTGAACAATGGGAACACATGGACACAGGGAGGGGAACATCACACACCAGGGCCTGTCAGGGGATGGGGGGTGGGGGAGGGATAGAATTAGGAGAAATACCTAATGTAGACGATGGGTTGATGGGTGCAGCAAACCACTGTGACACGTGTATACCTATGTAACAAATCTGCACATTCTGCACATGTATTCCAGAACTTAAAGTATAATTTTAAAAAATTTAAAAAAAGAAAAAACAAGCCACAGATTGGAAAAAGGGATTTTTCAAATCATATTTCTGATAAAAGACTTATATTTAGCATATATAAAAAACTATCAAAATTCAACAATAAGAAACTAAAACATCCAATAAAACAAAATAGGCAAATGACTTGAACAGCTATTTCACCAAAGAAGATATACAGATGGGAAATAAGAAAAAGGAAAGGATGCTCCACATTATTAATTATTAGGGAATTGCAAATTAAAGCTGCAATTATTAATAGATACAATTCCGCTGACTAGACCTATTACAGTATCTAAAATTGGCTAGGAACAGTAGCTCATGCCTGTAATCCCAGCAAACTCAAAGCTGAGGCAGGAGAATTGCTTGAGCCCAGGAGCTTGAGGACCATCCCTAGATATAGAGATTCCTAGTTAGGTGTGGTGGTGCACGCCTGTGGTCCCAACTACTCAGGAGACTGAAGTAGGAGGATCACTTGGGCCTGGGAGGTTGAGGCTGCAGTGAGCTGTGATTATACCACTGTACTCCAGCCTGGATGACAGAGAGACACTGTCTTAAAAATAAATAAATAAAAGAAAAGACAGGGGATGAACTTGAATCAATGAAAACTCCCATGCACTGCTTGTGGAAATACAAAATGATACTAATATGCAAAAACAGTATGATGATTTTTTTTAAAAAGTTAAACATATACCTACCATGTACTCTAGCCATTCCACTTATAGGTGTTTATACATGAAAAAATTAAATCATATGTCCAAACAAAGACTGTCCACAAATGTTCATAGCAGCTTTATCTGTAATACTCTCAAACTGGAAACAACTCAAATGCATATCAACAGTTAATGGATAGTGAAATTGTGATATATCCAGACAACAGAATACCCCTTAATGACAAAATGAATAATCTTTAACACATGCAACAACATGGAAGAATCTCAAAATAATGATGGCGAGTGAAAGAAGTCAGACAAAAATGTACATACTGTATGACTCCATTAATAATAGAATTCTAGAAAATGAAAACTAATCTGTAGTTCAAAAAGCAGTTCAGTACTTGACTGGGGGCAGAGGGTCATGGGGAAAGGTTGGAGGGTTACAAAAGGTCACAAGGAAACTTTTGGGTGTGATGGATGTGTTCACTATCTTGATTTTGTGATGGTCTCTTGGGTGTATACGTATGTCAATACTTATCAAATTTTATACATTTTAAATATACATTTTAAATATGCGTATATTTAAAACGTATAGGTATACATTTTAAATATGTGTACTTTATGTAAAATACACTTTAATAAAGCTGTTAAAAGTCAATATATGAGAAATGGAATATAAAATTTTAAAAATATAAAGTTTACAATAGCATTAAATAACATGAAATATATCAAAGTAAGTTTGACCAAATATGTGAAAGTTCTTGCTGGAAACTTTAAAAAATCTATTGAGAAAAATTAAAGATCTAATACATACTGGGACATATCATCAAAAGATGTCAAAAATGTCAACTGTCTCCAATTTTAATCAAACCACAAACTCTGTGTTTATGAGTGTGTGTGTGTGAGTGTGTGTGTGTGTGTGTGAGAGAGCGAGAGAGAGATTCTAAATGAATTGTAAAAATAAAAGAAAGATCAAAAATTGAACTATCTGAAGAAGTGCCAGATGGGAGGATTTGCTCTAGTAAATATCAAGACATATTTGTAAAGACACAGTAGCTAAGACAGTCAAGTATTGTCACAAGGCTTGTATTAGTTTGTTTTCATGCTGCTAATAAAGACATACCTGAGACTGGGCAATTTACAAAAGAAAGAGGTTTAATGGACTTATAGTTCCATGTAGCTGGGGAGGCCTCACAGTCATGGTGGAAGGCAAGGAGGAGCAAGTCACATCTTACATGGATGGCAACAGGCAAAGAGAGAGAGCTTGTGCAGGAAAATTCCCATTTTTAAGACCATCAGATCTCATGAGACTTATTCACTATTGCAAGAACAGCATGGGAAAGACCTGCCCCCATGATTCAATTAACTCCCACTGGGTCCTTCCCACAATACGCGGGAATTATGGGAGCTACAATCCAAGATGAGATTTGCCTGGGGACACAGCCAAACCATATAAAGGCTATACCGTTGGAACAGAATAGAGAGCTCAGAAATAAACGTATGAGTATTTGGACACTTGTTCTTGACAACGTTGAGTAGTAGAGCAGTGGCGGTCTTTTTGATAAATGATACTGTGTCAATAAAAAAAATCACAATTGACCCCAATCTTTCACCATATGCAAATATTGATGGCAGGTGGATTGTATTAAGCTATAAATTCTGGAAGATCATACATGAAAAATATTTTTATGTTATATAGAGATTTCTTAAACTATATGAAAATTATTGTCAATAAAGGAAAAGATTGAGAATTCAGGTTACATTAAACGTAAAAACTTCTGCTCATTGAAAGACACAAGAAAGTAAACATGCAAGCCACAGAGCAGAAAGATTTTGCAGCACATGTAACTGACAAATATCCAAAATATAATGAGCTCCAAAAAATCAGGAATGTAAAAGACACAGGATCCAATAGCTAAGAAGCTTTAATTGGCACTTTTATAATGAGGCTACCCAACTGGGCAGTAAACTTATCCATTTTATAATATTATTAGGAACCAGGGAAATCCTGTTTAAAACCACAGTGATATAACACTACTCTTTCACCAGAATAGCTGTAGTGAAAACAGCAAGTACCAACTGTTGCCAATGATAGAAACACTGGAATTAACTCTCTAACACTTTGCTTGTGGGAGTAAAAATTGGTACAAGCACACTGAAAAGCATTTTGGCCTCATCTATTTAAATTAAACATTTACATTAATCAATGTAAATTCGTTATAGTATAGTAATTTAAATTAAGCATTTAAATCAAGCATTGTGATCTGCAATTCCATTTCTTGGTGTATACCCAAGGAAAATGTGTGACTGTCATAAACAAGAATGATCACTTCAGGATTATTTTTCCTTGTCCAAAACTGAAAATGACCCCCAAACCATCAACATGATAGTAGATGTGCTTGTCCAGTGACATTTATATTGTTATGAAAATAAATGAATTAACGCTCTGCTCAACAACATAGTTGAATGTCACAAACAACGTTGAGGGAAAGAAGCTAGACTTTTAAAAATGCTTATTGTGTGATCCTATTTATAGAAAATTTAACAAATAGGCAAAACTTTATTAAAGAATTTAGGGATATATGCATAGGTAGTGAAGCTATAAAGAAGATCGAGGGAATGAATACTACAAAAGTAGGCAGAGTATTTTTTCCAGTACAGGTCAGCAGGAATTTCGAGTGAGATGCAGCAGAAAGGGAGTACTGTAGATCACCACCACTGTTTTATTTCTTGAACACTGAGGTGTTTACACTGGTTTTCAGTTTATGGTAATTCACTGAATTCTATATTGATATGTTGTATACTTTATTATACATGCATTATTTTTCACTTTTTTTTTTTTTTTTTTTTTTTTTTAGGTGGAGGGAGAAAAGAAGCTATGAAAATCAAAAGTGTCTCAGGTGGAAGTGACCTCAGTGGTAGATTTCTAGGTAAGGCTGACTTCTCATCCTAAAGGATCTTCTCCCTACACTGGCTGTTTCTTTCTACTTCCTTCTGAAATATAATGTGCAATTTCACCAATTATAGCTTCATTCTGCACGCTAATCACCTTTTGTAAAAAGGCAAATGCCTCTGGTTGTTTGAACGGCTGTCATCACAAATCTCTTGTTCCCCTATTCCAGAGTTCTGTCTAACAAGTCTACAGTAATTCCTTTACATTATGGGTTAAATCACCCTTCCTAAACTAGTCAGGAACTCAACCGTCATTTAAAAGTGACTTCTGTAGGGATTAAATTCAGATTTCAAAATAAAATATGTGAATATGATCTATTTGTCATTTTGGGAATGCCTATACAGTGACTGGTATGATATACAGGAGAATTGACAGGACTTAGATTCTGACTAACCAGGCTCAGGTTTTGGTTCTACTCATTTTTAGTTACTTTACTGAGAGAAAATTATGAAACCAGATTCCTAAGTTGTAAAATCTGGGTAAAAATACCTATCTCCAATAGATGTTATGGGGTGAAAATGATATAAAACGTCAAATAAATATGTGAAATCAAGATTTCAAATTCACAACAGCAAAAATAAAATTAGATGTAAGAGATTAAGACAGACAAATGAGAATGTCATACAGGACTAAGTCATTGCTGTGGTTAGCTGGCATTCCTCAAAGGGGAAGTGTTCTGAGCAACTGCCTTATAATCAAATCCCTTTCTGTTATCCTTAAAGACTCAGAAAACATCCACGGAGTACTCCGTACTTACCTTTTGGCAGCCTTTGTGACTCGATATGTATATTTTCATCCGAACTCCTCCCCTGTAATTTCCACAAAGGCAGAGATAAGTGTCTGGCATTTAATCAAGAACAAAATGTTTGTTGAATTTGTTTAACTCTACTTGAACCTTTCTACAATCTGAACCGCATCTTGAGATGGAATGATCTGTATACACCCTCCCTATCTGCTACCTAAAGTGTGTACTTTTATTTGTCCTATAACTATATTGTGTATATTCAGAGTGTTTTTCCTAGATTTAGAATATAGGGAAGATGACCTACATAATTTGAAACCATGCTAAACATTGAAGAAAGTTTTGAGAATTTTTCTTTCAAGTTCTCAAGCATGAGGCAACCTATGAAGTAGCTAATTAATTATTTATATATAGCATTTGGTATTTTTTTTTTAGAAAGAGATATTAACTTATCATGGACTATACAGCCTAAGTCTCTACAAACTGATAAAAATCATGCCAGTTTTCAATTCTATTTGCCCAGATTTCTGTGCACTGAGAGCTTCCTAGCCGTGACTTATGGGGTATGCTGGGTATTGCCAGTCATTCGGCGGGAGTCACAGCTGGGGGCCCACATGGCAAACAGTTCCACGACCTTGTCCTCGGTAGCTCCATGCCAGCCTGACCAAATGGTTTTGCCATAGACATAGAAAAGCAGGGGAGGGAGCCACACCGATACCCTATTTGTCACAATAAATGTATCCTTTCTAGCAAGCATGGCAATTGCATAACTAGATGTCACAAAATAAAAATGTTTAACTTTTATATTCCTCCAAAACTTCGATTTCAAAGTTCCTGGTGCAAATAACCTACACCTATTCATTGGCCATGGAGATGGCCTAAGGTCCTTTCCTCCTTGCTGCAACTACGCAGAAGAATGTAACAGTATTGTAGCTCAGCATCTCTGCAGGAGATAGAACAGCAGGGATTGAATTAGCTCAGAAGCTATTGGGCTGGGGTCTGGTGCACCAATCAGAGAAATCGAGGAATCAGCAGGACATTCCAAGTGGCCCATTCTTCTGAGAAATTCGCAGTTGTCTCCCTGGAGCTCTTCCCAGAGAGCCTTCAATATAGCTATTTAATTTATTATTTGAAGTTAAATCAGAGGGCTACTTAAAGCTTGGATCCTGGCTGTGAGTACTGAATTAATCAAAAACAAAGAGATGTTACATTATCTGGATCTCTTACATTGACGAAGATATATCTTTTTTATTTATTTATTTATTTTTGAGATGGAGTCTGGCTCTGTTGCCCAGGCTGGAGTGCAGTGGCACGATCTCAGCTCACTGCAACCTCCACCTCCTGGGTTCAAGTGATTCTCCCGCCTCAGCCTCCCAAGTAGCTGGAATTACAGGCACATGTCACCACATCCAGCTAATTTTCGTGTTTTTAGTAGAGATGCGGTTTCACCATGTTGGTCAGGCTGGTCTCAAACTCCTGACTTCATGATCAGCCTGCCTTAGCCTCCCAAAGTGCTGGGATTACAGGCGTGAGCCACTGCGCCTGGCCTATTTTTGTCTTTCCTAGTTTTTGTAGAGACAGGGTCTTGTTATATTGCCCAGAGTGATCTCAAACTCCTGGGCTCAAGTGATCCTCCATCTTGGCCTCCCAAAGTGCTGGGATTACAGGGGTGAGCCACTGTACATGGCACAGGCATACCTTTCCTATCATACAAATCTATTTATTACTCTGTCCCCAATGGATGGCTTACCTTTTAGCTAAGGAATGAGAAGGGAAGAGAAAAGGGTGAAAGAGAGCTGCCTCTTGGGGATTATGGTTTTTGTACATTTCCTGGAGATTATTATTTTTAGTTTTTGTTCACACTGATGAAATAACCTGGTTGTGTTTCTATTGTTTCGGTCCAAAGGGTCAGGGGAACTTGTAGATAGAAGGATGGCTGGTTTCATGGTGACCCAAAATTAGCCTGGACTTCAAAGAACTTCCTCTTTTCTCTGCATGAAGAACTCTTTAAAGAAGTCCTTTTTCCTTTTACAAGGTGAATGCTTCAAAGCACGTGGGAGGAGTATTTCCTTCTCAGTGTTTACCTTTCAAAGGTGAGGAGTTCACAGACATTTCTCTGTTTGTACAGTAGAATCCAGTCGTTGGTTTGGAGGCGAGGGCTCTCTGCGGTCCTCTCCTACTGTCAGGAGCTTCCCGTGCTCATTTTTCATTTACTGATGCACTAAAGGAGCTGTGCCCGGAACCAAAAAAAGCTGCATTAAATTCCTCTGGAGTATATTTCTGTCAACATTGTATATCCCTAAAAAAAAAGAACTTGGTCCTGTTTTTCAAAGCCTTCTTTCTCTCACAGGTTACAAAATGTTCACGGAATGGCCAGAAATGACAGGCAAAGTGGATGTGTGGGGAAGTGCATATATGTTCTCATTCCAGATGGAGGGAGAATGATTATAAAATAAAGTAACAGGTTTCTAGCATATCCACTTGGATTTATACACTCAATTAATTATGACCCCCTCAGTTAAGATAACTTTGGGATGCTCTACAAGATATTCAATAATGTGCAAAATGGTGAAATAACAGCTTTGGAAACATCTTGAAATTGTATTCAGGTCCCTTAGGACATCATTTTATACTATTTTTAACTTTATTTATAACTTTATTTTATCTTCTGTAGGAAGCTCTGTGAGAGTGAAGGCAGGAACTGTACCTTATTAGTCTAGAAACTCCCTTTGAGGACTAGAACAGTGACTTGTGCTTTATAGGAATTTTTTTAAATATGTGGGTTATTTTGCATTCACAAGAAAAATCTCTAACTTCTGAGTTAAATCTGACATTTTGTAACAATTAAAAAGCCCATTTGGAATTGAATCTGGTAAAGTACATTATCAATCTTTGTAATATTATCTAACGAAATAAATAGATCAATAAAAATTAATGACAAGAAATATGTATTGATTTGTATGTATGATATACATGAAATATGTATTGATGAGTATTGATGATTGAAATACTATGATCATGGGTATTAAAACAACGTGTAATACCCATTGCAAAGCAAATGAAAGAAAACCTACCAAATGCTAATGTTAAGGTGCTTGGATTATGAATGAATTTTTGGTACATTTATAGTAGGAAAAAGTAAATTCACATTTAAAAAAATAACAAATCAGATTTTCTTTTGCAATGAATACATAGTCTCTGCCTGAGGGAAATTATCAGTGAGAAGATCAAAAGTATTTTAAACAATGGAATCAATGTGACAATTGTGTTAATAAAATGAGTGAGAGAGCTGCTATTTACTGACAAATTACTATGTGCCAAGCATAGTGTTATGTACTGCATGCAAATGATCTCTAATCCACAAAATACCCTGCAAGGTAAATATTTTAATTTTAATTTCTATTTTATAGAAACTGAAGTGTCGCGAGAGTAAGTCATTTGCCTGAGGTCACACCTAGAGTATGGGATTGGGTCTATGCCTTTTTGGCTCTGAAACCCTTGCCCATTCAGTGACATCAGAAAGCCTCTTTCTGTGTCCATTTGGTTTTCCCATTGGCTGAAGGCAAATGCCCTAACATGAGAGACCTTTTGCAAACTGACCTGTGTCTCTCAATCCTTTCCCACTTTCCCCAGCCAAACTGGCTGACTCACTCTCTCAATGCTCTTCATAGACATTCCCATGGTATGCCCTCTTCCTCCCAGGGCCTGCAGGATTCTCCATCCTTTTATACCCACGTATAACCAATTCAAAATCTCCAAAGCCATCAAGATTCTTGGGCCTCTCCAGTCTGTGGAATCGTACCCACCTTTGAATTTTTATTGACTCTGCTCTATTCAACTGGCAGTGGCTTAATGGCAGCCCTTATATTTTCTCATATCACAATTCAGTGTTTTATGCATGTATAGTTTTCTCTTTGCAATTGGAATTTTCTTTTCTTGAGGTCAGCATATATATTTCATTTATTTTCGTATTCACTGTGGCAGCACAAAAGGGGTAAGTGAACCGAACATGGAGTCCGTGAATCAGAGGCTCTACCACATCGGAATTATGTGGTCATGAACAAGTCATATCGTTTCTTTACATTGTAGTTTCCTTATCTGTAAACTGTGGCTAATAATACTCAGTACTTCATAGATTTGTTGGGAATATTAAACAACATAATAGATGTAAGGTATTTGTACATTTATAGGACACTGGAAGCATTGAATAAATATTATCATTAGTAGTAGTACTCATTAATAAACAGCACAGACAACTATATAATAATAATAATAGAATGAGCAAAAAAAAGCACATACAGATCTTTTCACATCTCTTTGGATCTTTTCAACATGCATAGGTATCTTTTTTCATTAAACATTTTGCATTTATTTGCTACATTTATAACACTTATCACAGTGCTAAAATATTTTAAAAAGCACTTGATATACGTTTGCAGAATGCCTCTGAATAAATGTGGCCACTTTTAAATGATAACCAAAGTAAGAAAAAAAAAGAGAAAAAAGAAACAAAGACAAGAAAATGAGAACTTTCAAAATAATGTCATGAGTATTAAGGCATGGATAGAATATAAAAATTAAGCAGACTTGTACAAATAAATCTTACGTCATGGGTGGAAGGATCTCGACTGTTGTGGTTTTTTCACACTGGCAGTTACTTGATTGTGGAGTGATTCACAAGGAAACAGGTAGCATTCATATTTGACTTTCTCGTTTGTGTATTAGAGATGGCCAGTGACTCATCTATGGATCAGAGTACATGTCTCTCTTGGAGAGATTATTGGTAAAATACGATGAATGTTTTCAAGCTAATTGGTGATCAAGATGCTCAATGCTGCAAACTCATGTCTCATGAACATTAGGAAAAATAAATGACCTTACCATGCTCCTCTCTCCTGTACGATAAGCAAAGCTCTGGCAGATGGCATTCAATTTTAGTCTTAAAATTTTAAAAAGTGACAACCAAAAGCAATTATTTTTTATTAACAGCAAAGCAAAGCTGCGTAGCGTCACCAGGAGACAAGAAAATAACTTTGGCATTTCTAGGCCCTCGGCTTCCACCTGGAGTTGGGTCTGTGTGGGTTTGTTCTGCTTCAGGCCTGTGCCTCAGGTGTTACTCCTGTGACTGGCAGGAGGAAGGTGACAAGTTTAGGTTACCATAATGAGTAATGATGGTGATCAGTCAACTGTCTTCCCTCTTCCTAAAAACAGTTGAGTACTTAAAATGCCAATCTGAATTGCAGGCAGTCGTCACCACCATAGACTTAGCAAGGAACCAGACCCACAGTGCCTTAACCCCAGGTGTGTTTATAGCAACATCAATGGTCATGAGCTGTTTCTCAGATGTTAAATTCTGACATTATTCAGAATTGGATGAGTAGAATGCCAATAACATAATTTACAATGCATTACACAATGTACACACTGCCTCAGGAAGACAAAGCTCACTTGAAGAGTATCCCCTAGGTCGTGGCCTTGCTCCTGCTCTGGGGGAAAAGAATCCAGGCCCCTCCACGCGAGTGTGGGCACGGGGGAACTGAAGTGCTTGTGGTTCTGTACTAGATCTCTGTGGGGGCAGGAACAGGAGCCACGGGTGGGACCTTGAGCACTCATCGGGTCACCTTCGAGGTGGACAAGAATGAGAACATCACCCATCACTGTGGTGAAGGGCATTGAGCTTTCAGAAAATGTGATTGATTGAATGAAGGAATCCTCTCCATCTGGTTCAAAGTCTCAGTGGTATTCTGGTGCTTATGATGCCTTGGTTTCTGATGAAGAATTGAAAAGAAGAGTAGCTGAGGAGCTAACATTGGAACAAGCCAAGAAACAAACTGAAGATCAGAAACGACTAAAGCAAGCCACAGAGCTGGAGAGAGAGAGGGCTGCTGCCAATGGGCAGTTAACCAGAGCCATCCCTCGAGAGAGGGTATCAAGCCAAGAGGAAGGCACTAAGGCAATGCACCTTGCTAGGCGGCTGGAAGAGAAAGGCCGAGTGCTAAAGAAGCAGGTTGCATTCTGCAAAGTGGAGCTGGCTAGACTGGAGGAGAGGAGCTCAGAGTTCTACAAAGTCACCACTGAACAATATCAGAAAATTGCTGAAGACGTGGAAGCACGGTTCAAGTGTATGAGTCTCATCCAGTCTATGCTGACCTCCAGGCCAAAATTCTTCAGTGTTACTACGAGAACACCCACCAGACCTTCAAATGCTCCACTCTGGCCAGCCGGTATATGCACTACGTCAATCATGCCAAACAGAGCATGCTTGAGAAAAAAGTATCAACAACTTTTAGAACAAGCAAAACACCTTCAACGTTAATTTCAGAGAGGGAATATTTTTTTTCCTAGTAAGAAAATAACCCATTTAAAGAGACGAGCACTAATGAGAAGACCACTCAAAAGAGACAGCGGACAATGGATCCAACAGAATCATACCACATTTCCATTGGCAGCAATTTGAAGGGCGGCCAAAACCTAGATCAGGATCAGTCATCAAAGGATGCTCTTCAGTATTAGTAAACCCCTCTTACGATGATTAAGAGAAGGGCAGCCCTCTCCACCTTTTGGTACTTTCTATTCAAATTCTACTGAACATAAAATGTTTATCTTCTAAGCAAGCCCCATCATTTGGTGAACCTCCACCCTAACAAAGTGTGATGGGGTGAGGTGGAGGTGTGGGGCTAAAGTAATTGGAGTGTGGAGAGGAGAGCACCAGAAAACATAGCTCTCAGGGCAGCAGTGCTGGGTGGAATTGTCTAGGCCGTGGCATGTTGGTTTTCTTGCTTTTTCTTTTTACCTTTGATTACATAAGAGTGATTTCATTTTAACTTTTGGTGATCATGCAAGCAAGGAAACAAAAAGGAGAGATGATGTACCTCTTTTACAGGACTAATATGTATGATTAGAAGTGAAATAAGGTATTTTTATCAATATAAAGGCAACCTTGGCTTATATAACGTCTATCGTGAATACTGACATCTTTACTTCACTCACTACCAATAATAAATATATTTTCTGACAAAAAAAATTTTAAAAAAGTAACCCCTAAAGAGAACAATTGTGTTATCCCAATCAACAGGAGGCAAATGATTTAATAAACAGTGCCAGCTGTCCCCCATTGGAACCCACTAAGTGCCAGATACCGCCTCTGACAGCTCATCTTCACTTTTGTTAGAGTGATCTTCCTAAGCAGAGAATCTGAGGGTGATCATTTTCCTGCCTGATGCCATTCTTTGGGACATGAGTCTAGCCCATCCTGCCCATGTCTTTGGGACATGAGTCTAGCAGTCTAGCCCATCCTGGCACAGGAAATGCTCTTCTGGATCTGATGGCTTCCTACCTGTCCACTGTCTGGAGTCGAACTCTTCCTCCCTGCTCCTCACACTCTCACTGCGCCTCTCTTCCCTGGTCAGACTGCCTGCTTGCAAATCTTTGGCATATGGTGTCTGGCTTGCCTCTCGGACTTGCTCTTGATGTCCTCTCCGTGTTGACAAGCCACCCTCCCACCACACCCCCAGTCCCATCCCTCTTTCCAAATACCAGCTTCTTCTTTAGATGTCATCACCTCCACAACACCTGCCCTGAACATTTCTTCTCCCCAAGAACAATTCAGGTTTTGTTCTAAGATGTTTCTGCTCTTTAGTCACCACCACCTCCACCATCTCCAGGGCACTTACCACAGGGTAATAGAATTGACTGCTTTCCTGTGAGTCTTCCCAGACAGACTTCATGTTACTTAAGGGCATGGTCTATGTGTCATTAGTGCTTGACATATAGAAAAATTCAATAAATATTTGTCAATTAAATCTTCACAAGAACTTATTCAAGAGACATATTTTCATCCTCACTTTATGGCTTTATGGATGTAGGAACTTGAACATAGTAAGGCTGAAAAACATCTTCCAAGTTATGCAGTGAGTGGGTGGCAGAGATTAAATTAAACTAAGATTTATTTAAACGCAAAGCCCATTGGTTTTTAAGAAGCCACAGTTGGCTTCTATGTTTAGAGGCAGCTGAACACATACAAATTGGTTATGATAAAACAGTGTGATTATTCAGAGAACTGGTCTTAATTTTGTAAATAGAATCTAATTGATTAAATGAATTAACAATGGTTATGTTTCAAGTTGACTAACAAAAGATTGTTAAGCTTAGATTGAATCTGACTGTGACATGCTACAAACGAAATTATAGAATGTCAGTGAAGAGTCTCTATAGGAAAAGGTTTAGCATTCATCTTGTGATAATAGAGCATTTCTACTCAAAAGAAGGCTTATTCCTACCTCTAACTTGCTATTCTCTATTGAGCAATGAGTTGGATGGCTTCAAATTCTTCCAACTTGCAAACTGAAGCTTGGAGTTGGGTGATGGTGTGACGGATTGAGCAGGAATTGAGGGCTGGGACTCTGAAGCGAGAAATTGAGGGTCGGATGTGGAGGTGAGGGACCTCTTACCAACAGAAGTCCTGAATGGCTATTCTTGGTCTAGCATTCAATCTCCGGCTACCTCTTTATTCTGAGTGATACAAGAATTTGACCTCTTGTTTTCCCTTGACTTTGTTATGTCCTTTGCTTTCAATCTCTTTCTGATCCTTGGGAATTTGACTACAGCCTTAATAATAAACAGAACAGATTTTTTTAAAAAAAGATTCATTTCTACAACCCTGCCCCTTCCCTTTTTATTTTTCCACTTAGATTTAGTAGGTAAAAGATATATGGGGGAAAGATGGGTGGGTCTTTGGAAATATAAAAGATGAAAGTAAAATTCCTTTTATTTCAATGTCATCAAACCAGCTGTTTTGACAGTGGGGATGAGATAGAGCTCTGCCATGGGAACCTGGGAGCTGTAATGGAGTGAACCAGAGAGAAATATCTCACCAATTAGGAGTATTAAAGAAAAGATAAGAGTGTAGAGGAGGTGAAGAGCCCTCCAGAAACCATTCTGGGCTATCACTAGGGTGAAGAATAAGATAAGGGTGAGACCTACCAAATAATAAAGGAGCTTTTAGTGGTGGGGAGGAAGGAGAATGAACAAGAGAGATGAATCCTATTCTATAGCAATGGGGAAATAAAGGGTGTTCCTATGGGGAACTACTTACCTTTTTTTTTTTTCTTGAGATGAAGTCTCGCTCTGTTGCCCAGGCTGGAGTGCAGTGGTGTGATCTCAGCTCACTGCAACCTCTGCCCCCAGGTTCAAGCAATTCTCCTGCCTCAGCCTCCTGAGTAGCTGGGATTACAAATGCCTGCCAACATGCCTGGCTAATTTTTGTATTTTTAGTAGAGACAGAGTTTTACTGTGTTGGCCAGGCTGGTCTTGAACTCCTGAGCTCAGGTGATCTGCCCGCCTCAGCCTCCCAAAGTGCTGGGATTCCAGGCGTGAGCCACCACATCCGGCCTGGAGAGCTACCTTCTTATGATGGTGTTTCCTGGAGCCTTCCAAATGAGGGTACACATTAATGGTTCTCATATTTTAGCACATTTCTTACCTGGGAAGTTGTTAAAATGAAGATTCCCAAACTTTACCCATAAAGTTTTTAATTCAGTTTTGGATAGGTCAATGGAGCCCAAGAATCTGAATTAAAAAAAAATACCCCTGATAATTTGAGTATAGGTGGCTAATGTTCCATAATTTGAAACACATTGGCTATTCCTGTTTTTGAGATTCAGAGTAAGTAACTTTGTGGCCTAAAATAGTCATATGACCTTATGCTTTTAATACATAAAGTTACAGTCTATTAATTAAACAATAGCATTTAATTTAAAATATATACTGCGAACAAAAGACCTATTTTTGTACATCTTAAGCAGATATCATTTATCTTATTGTTGAAAGTTCTATGGTAATGTTGTGCTTTTTCTCCAAATAATTGGCATTGTGACATTCCTCTATCTTCATTTTTTAATGGTTTAATATGATTTTTTTCTCCCTGGTTCTGCTTCCTATTTAATCTGCTACTGCCTGTTAAATCAGCTTCCCTTCACGGCAAAAACTGAGGCTGCTTTTGTTAGATTAAACATTCTTTTTTTATCTGACCCAGCTTTCAGCTTCATCTACTTAGTTATATCATTGGTTGGGTAACAGGAATTGCCAGGATGTCACCCAGTGGGAAAATCAATTCATGAAAGAAGGCCTGGTGCTGTGTGTTTGACTATAGAGCATCTCTTTTCTTTCTCCAAGCATATCTGTCTCAGCGCACCTGGGTATTCCTCCCGAGGGCTAAGAAGAAGTTTGAATTGCCCTGCTGTTAATTAACAACATCCCTTTCTCCTTATATTACAGGTGAACTTGATTCATTCTCTTGTATATATTCCTAAGAGAGAGACTCACTGTGAAAGGACACATCACTATAAAATAAAGAGAAGGCCAATGGTGAAGTGTTTGAAAGATAATTCATTGTTCTAGTTGGTTATTAAAATAAATGTGTCTCATGATAGAATCCAGCATCCAAGTAGGAGCTAAGGATGTTCTTGTTCCATGAATTTAGATGTTTCAAAGATACATGCCCCCGCCCCACTCCTGACATTTAATATCTCTTAGCCTTTGGATTGAACTCAATTGTTCTTAATCTGGGCCTTTTACAGAGGGTGCAGCAGATAGAGGCTTCATTGGGTTTATGGAATTTGTGTATGTGTCTACGTGCTTTTTTTGGAGGAGATCTTTCTCAGCTTGTATGAATTTCTCCATGGAGTGAATGATACCAAAAAGATTAAGAACCACTGAAGTAAAGGTCCAGCATGTTGGAATATAAAAAATTAATCCTGCTTTGCAGTAGTAGTATTTTTCCAGGGGACTCAGAGTTAATTTCCACAGGAAGCTAAACTTAAAAGGGGAGGTTATTCCTTTTCAGGAGAAGTTATTTAGAAGGAACTACAAGATGACCCTCTGTCCTTCGAGCCTAGGGGACCATCTATCTGTGAGCTGCCTTCTGTGATCATCTACATGAACCAGTTGCAGGATATTGAGTTGGAGCTAACTCTCACACTCAATTTTAAAGTACAAACTTTTAACTGCATTGTGACTATTGATCACTGTTTAAGGATGGGGAAAGAGAAGGTGGATACTGAAAATATATAACACATGCAAATTTCCTCTACCTCTCTCTACACTGTAAAGCTTTCCAATAAAAGGATTATTTATTTTAAAAGTAATACTATAGCTACAAGTGCAGGCTAGTGGCTTGTTTGTAAAGAGATCAAATATTAGAAAGATATTGAAGAGAAATGGGGAATCTTAACGATCCCTTAAACATTTTTCCTATTATTTACTAAGTCTGCTATGTCACTTTTAGTCATCTTGCATACCACATAGAATTTTGATTATGCTAAAAATCAATATATATCATAATATAATATAATATTATAATTCAAGCCAGGCACAGTGGCTCACATCTGTAATCCCAGCACTTTGGAAGCCTGAGGCAAGTGGATCACCTCAGGTCAGCAGTTCAAGACCAGCTTGGGCAACATGGTGAAACCCCGTCTCTACCAAAAATACAAAAATTAGCTGGGTATGGTGGCGGGTGCCTGTAATCCCAGCTACTCAGGAGGCTGAGGCATGAGAATCACTTGAACCCAGGAGGCAGAGGTTGCAGCGAGCTGACATCTCACCACTGCACTCCAGCCTGGGCAACAGAGTGAGACTCCATCTCGAAATAAATAAATAAATAAATAAATCAGTATTCTCATCTTTAAAATGATGACACTAATACTAACTTTTGTACAGGGTTGGTTATATGAGCATTTAATAAAATAATCCTAGCAAAATGTTTGGAACACAGCCTGGTCCATATATGTTTGAAATATATTTGCTATTATTATT
This sequence comes from Homo sapiens, assembly GCF_000001405.40. NCBI lineage: Eukaryota > Metazoa > Chordata > Mammalia > Primates > Hominidae > Homo > Homo sapiens. The sequence goes on from NC_000010.11 coordinate 8,626,155, forward strand.
ATTATTATATCTGCAGAGTAATTAATAGAGAAATGTAAAAATGGGATGCTTACATTAACATCTAGCTGTCAATTTTTGTTTACTCTTCATTGGGTTGGGCTTTTTAATACCTCATTGGGCTTTGGACAGGGTTCACTTTCAGCTGAATATAGATACACCAAGGTCATGTATTATTATCATTTTTTTTGCGTTCTTGCTTTGTTTCTTACATATACTTTTCTTTCCTGATATCCCCAGGTTGATTCCATACTTTTCTGGATCCCCTTCTTCTGATCCAAGAAACTTATCTCTCCTGTATTGAACTTCCTCAGGATTTTATGCCTTATAGCTAAGAAATATTTAAAAATTGTCATCATAGCTACTAAACATTTTGGGCTACAGTGTAAGCTATAGAAACATTAATGTCTGACACCATTTGCACTTAATTAGGGAATCCTTGGTAGTTGTTTATTGGAAGGATGGACCCTACTAATAGAAATTTGGGGCAAAGGGAAGAAGATATTCTAAAGAGCAATAAAACTTTCAACCTAAGGACTTTGTAGAAATGCTATTCTGCTCACTCATGGGCATAATGACCACACGTTACAGAGGCAGTTGAGGGCCAGCCTCAGGTTCCAGCCTGGATTTTGAATCTCAGCTCCTAGTTAAAAACTGGGTGGCCTTGAAAAAGTTATTTAACCTCTTTGTGCCTACATTTTCTCATATGTAAAGGAAGAAGGAAAAAGAAAGAGTACCTACATCAGAGGGCTGTTGTAAGAATTAAAGCTAATATAATGCAAAGCACCTAGAATAATAGTAAATGCCAGATGCATGTGCTTATGTAACTGTTTGCCATTATCATTTCTAGGGCAATCCCAATTTCATCTCTGTTTTCACTAATCAGAAACTAATCCTTTGTCATACCAAGTGTCTTGATTCTGAGCTCAGACTCATTAAGACATCTTTCTATATGAAAGTTGGTTTTTGTTTTCAACTCTTGTATTAAGATGAAAAGGACCAAGTTCTGACATAATTAAAACCACCAAAAATTTCATTTCATTTCATTATTTTACTTTATTTTTTTTTTTTTTGAGACAGGGTCTCGCTCTATCACCCAGGCAGGAGTACGGTGATGTGATCTCAGCTCACTGCAACCTCCGCCTCCTGGGCTCAAGCAATTCTTTCGCCTCAGCCTCCCAAGTAGCTGGGATTACAGGCATGCGCCACCACACCCAGCTAATTTTTGTATTTTTACTAGAGAAAGGGTTTCACCATGTTGCCCAGGCTGGTCTCGAACTCCTGAACTCAAGTGATCCACCTGCCTCGGCCTCCCAAAGTGCTGGGATTACAGTTGTGAGCCACCACACCTGGCCCTAAAATTTCATTTAAATTTGATGTATTGCACTTATTGTTCAAGAAAGTATGAGTGCATTCTGATCACCTTTATACTACTAAAAAAAATGTGAGACCATACTTCCCCATTTAATCAGAATAGACAACAGATAGATGTATTACCACTCAAGAAACTGACATTAGCAGAGTAGCTCATAGGTTATATATCTAAAGCAATACAAGTATAACTTGCAAGCAGAACAAACCAAATTCCACTGCACCATTCTATTAGATTTCAATGCAGTACAGCCAATTTCTTTAACTCACAAGTTTCTCTTACAATTGATTTCTCCTATGCCTCCTTCCCTCGTCTTTCTTATATGTTTGGAATGATGAGTGAAGATAAATGACTTGCCTAACACTAACTCACACCAGATACAACAACCCACTTATATGAAAATTGCACCACACCCCAAATTTATGTCTGATCACAACCACCCAAACACATCTAAGTTTTCTATTATCTCCTTACTTAGGAATAGGAATACAGAGTTTTTATTTTTTCTTGGAAGTGTCTATATTCATGACTTAATAAATTAGGCTTTTTTTCTTTCTTTCTTTCTTTCTTTCTTTCTTTCTTTCTTTCTTTCTTTCTTTTTTAGCAGTGTGTAATTAACCTGTGGAACCCACGATGATGAGATATCACTCTGGTTTGCAGCACAGCATGTTTCTAGAAGGGATTAAACATTTATATATGGAAAAAAAAGAGAGCATTTGTGGTTGCTCCACTTTGGGTAAAATTACAGGCCTATCAATCTGAATGCGGTAGAGCATGAAATCAGGAAGTATTTTTCCCTCCACAGAATATTGGATTGCACAGTTAGGTGTATTTTGGGAGTAACGTTTCTGAATGGGACGAAGGATGGAACGTGGAACATACTTAAGGAATCAACCTTCCAATGTGATTTCTGTGCTAGCTCATATCATGGGTTTTCAATCTTTGCCCCTGGGCGCTGAGCTTGGTGAATCACACTCCACTCTTCCCCACTTCTCCTACGTGGCTGTCATTCAAGTTGTTGACATGCATCTCTATGACAAAAGGGAGATACCCAGGTGGTGGTTGCAAGACAGCAGAGACTGGTTTCTGCCATTGTTTTTGTTTGTTTGCTTCAGAGGAGGAAAACAGATGAAATGAGTCATTTGATGGTTATCCTTTTAGCTAAGTACTTTGGCTGGCATGGAGGATAAAACCTTATTATTAGAAGCAAAAAGAGAGAGACAAGCAAATTTTTTTTTCTTTTTCTTTTTCTTTTTTTTTCTTCTTTCTTTCTTTCTTTTTTTTTTTAACAGAGTCTTGCTCTGTCACCAGGCTGGAGGCAGTGGCAGAATCTCGGCTCACTGCAACCTCCGCCTCCCGGGTTCAAGAGATTCTCCTGCCTCAGCCTCTCGAGTAGCTGAGACTACAGGTGCGCACCACCACGCCCAACTAATATTTGTATTTTTAGTAGAGATGGGGTTTCACCATGTTGACCAAGATAGTCTCAATCTCCTGACCTTGTGATCTGCCCACCTCAGCCTCCCAAAATGCTGGGATTACAGGCATGAGCCACCATGCTGGCCTCTTTTTGGTTTGTTATTGCAGCTGCTAACTGGTTGATTTATGGCTGGGCATCTCTTTGTAATGAGAACTGTGGACAAATTAAATACATTACAAATCTTGCATAAGAAATGCTTTTGGTTGCTACTCCATAGAAGGCTGGCAAGAGAAGATCTATATTTGTGCTGTCCAGTGCAGTAGCTGCTAGCAACAAGTGACTATCGAGCATTTGAAATGTGGCTAGTCCGAATGAAATGTGTTGTAAGTCCGAATTACACACAAGATTTCACAGACTTCAAATGAAAGATAACTCAATATGTTTTACATTTATTGCATGTTGAAATGACAATATTTTGGATATATTTTGTTAAATAAAATGTATTATTAAAACCAGTGTCACCTATTTTTTAAAATGTATTATTGTTTTAAATTTTACTTTAAGTTCTGGGATACATGTGCTGACCATGCAGGTTACATAGGTATACATGTGCTATGGTTTGCTGCACCTATCAACCTGTCATCTATGTTTTAAGCCCCACATGCATTAGGTATTTGTTCTAATGCTCACCTTCCCCTAGCCCCCTACCCTTCGACAGGCCCCAGTGTGTGATGTTCCCCTCCCTCCGTCCATGTGTTCTCATTGTTCAATTCCCACTTATGAGTGAGAACATGCAGTGTTTGGTTTTCTGTTCCTGTGTTAGTTGGCTGAGGATCATGGTTTCTAGCTTCATCTATGTCCCTGCAAAGGACATGAACTTATCCTTTTTTATGGCTGCATGGTATTCCCTGGTGTATTTGTGCCACATTTTATTTATCCAGTCTATCATTGATAGGCATTTGGGTTGGTTCCAAGTCTTTGGCATTGTAAATAGTTTTGTAATAAACATATGCATGCATGTGTCTTAATAATAGGTGGTTTATTAAATGTGGCTATTAGAAAATTTAAAATTACACTTGGGGTTTGCACTTGCAGCTTGCATTAAGTTCCTATTGGATAGCACTGACCAAAATCATCTGATTCAACAGCTCAAAGTTTCAAGTTAGCAATCATAGCTGGATCAAGTACCAAAACACCCTTTTCACCATAATCACAAGTCAACATTATTTGTATTCTTGTCATTGGAAGGGAACAAAACAACTTACTCTAACGGACTTCTTTGGTGAAACTGCCTCCCATTTTCCCAATGTCAGTTGTTGAATATGTACCTAATTACAAAGACTTCTTTTTTTAAAGTTAAAGTTCTGGAGGCAGCATAGTTCTGTTTCTTGAAGATGTGAGTTCTACCTGACATGATGCCATTTGCTCATGAGCAAGAGGATTGTTTGGAGGTAATGATGAAACAATGATGGATTCAGTGTGTGTGAAAGAAAGGGGGAGAGAGATAGAGAGAAAGGAGAGAGAACACAGGTGTTTCTGAGCAATTCTTGTAAATATTTCATAGATCAAAAATTAGGGGATTTCATACAGGTCTTGGTGCTAAAAGGGATTTTTCAAAGTGACACAAAGAGGAATAATTAAGTATGCATTTGAAAGTTAGGATTTCAATAATCAGACAACTTAATTAGCTGGTCATCTACTACTTAGATTGCATTATTTTAAAATTATTAAAAAATATTTAGGCTGGATGTGGTGGCTCACACCTGTAATCCCAGCATTTTCGAAGCCTGAGACAGGTGGATTATGAGGTCAGGAGTTCGAGACCAGTCTGGCCAACATGGTGAAACCCTGTCTCTACTAAAAATACAAAAATTAGCTGGGTGTTGTGACATGCACCTGTAATCCCAGCTACTTGGGAGGCTGAGGCAGGAGGATCACTTTAGCTCAGAAGGCAGAGGTTGCAGTGAGCCAAGATCATGCCACTGCACTCCAGCCTGGGTGACACAGCAAGATTCCACCTCAAAAAAAAAAAAAAAGTTTAATTATATAATATAGAGATGGGATCTCACTTTGTTGTCCAGACTGGTCTCAAACTTCTGGGCTCAAGAAATCCTCTTGCCTTGGCCTCCAAAAATGCTAGGATTATAGGCATGAGACACCACGTGTGGCCTGAAATAACTTTTGAATTAACACTTATTTGTCTCTTCAACTAATAGATAACCAAGAGGTTGAGCAGCTAACTAGAACCATACTTTCAACATTGATGCAATTATTGCATACTACCTAAATTTGGAGTGCTAATCAATCAAATGATGTCAGACCTGTACTATGAGCAAGAATGTGTAAGTTATGATAATGATTTTAGGTTAGTACAGACTTCATTGTTAAAGGTTCTATATAACATACTGGTTATAACATGCAATTGTTCCAAAGGAGAGAATAAACTAGTCAAGATCTTTTGTTCTGCATCATTTGAATATCCATGAGTAAATTCTGCTAAAATTTAGTTATATTCTGTAGAATTTCAGGAAGTTTAATAATAAACAATCCAATATAACTTTTTATTTGGTACCTGTTTTAGAGATTTAACAGTGACCTTTTTTCATAAACTTTCCTACATTTTTTAAATGGAAAGTTTAGTAACTGGGAGGTGATTAAAACCTTTGATATGAACATCAAGAAAAATCAAAAAAGAGAAAACATATATAGCATAAAATTATAACATACTGGGCCATGTACAGGTTTTGGGAGCTACAGATTCTAATTCTGACTCCGTGTTAATCTGCAGTCTGATTGTAGATGAATGGATTATTATTTTTCTTTTCTATAACACATCAGTAAACTGTGCTATCTATTTCACAGAGCTTTTGGGAAAGAGAAAAAAGCCCCAAAATATTAAAGCACTTGGCACAAATAAAAGACTATATAAGACAATAGAAAAGCAGTGACTGACGAGAAGTTTTACCTCTGAGTAAATATAAGTGAGACTTATATTCCAGTGAGACTTAAGATACTATCAGAGGATGCCAAGCCAAGAGTTCTTTAAAGAAAATCAAGAACCATCCACTTCTGGGGTTGGCAAAATGGTGTGTGAACTCAAAGTGTGAAAGTCCACTTTAATTGTCACTGTAATTCCTTGACATTCTTTAAAAAATTGTGTGCATTAAGAATCAATAAATACTGCCTGATGTCAGTAAATAAATAAAATAATAATTAGTAGTATGTTTTCAGTCCTAAAACCTAAACATATTTAGTAATATAAAGTACTAGTATATTGTAATATGTTGAGTGGAAACTGTAAAAATGTCCTAATATGAGATGATATATAGTGTTGTGCTTTATAGGGAATCCTTATAGCTAAAGTCTAGAAGTCTGCTCAGGGAAAAAGCTAACAATCAGTCAAGCAATGGTAATTGAGTTCCTACCAAGACCTATCACTGGGCACAAACTGAAGGCCAGGCCTCAACTAGATGGGGGTCATGGCATAGGACTATGAAAAAGCACAAAGTAACATATAATTAAAAATGAACTTGCATGGTAAAGTCTGATGATGCGGTAGTCAAGGGACTAGAGAGTGCACAGGTGGAGGGAATGAAGGTGACATGCTAAAGGACCCCGGGTAAGAGAGAACACAGTGAGATTCAGGAGGGAGCAAAGCTCAGTGATTGCTCTATGCTTAGTGTGGGGAAACACTGAGTGCCTTAAAGTCAGAAAACCTGGAAATGAGCACCAGGCTTTTTTCTTTAGCATTTGTATAACTTTGGGCAGACCTCTTCATCAAGCCTGTTTCATCACTGGTAAAATGAGAATAAAAGTTGGCCATCCTTCAAATACGGTGATCAAATTGGATAAATGTACTCCAAAAACTGTAGTTTGAGTTAGCAGAGTTAGCTTAGGGAGTGGAAGGAGCTAGGCATGGTAGGGGCAGAGGTTGTGTGATGGGAATGGCAAGCTGTACAATTGGAGAGAAGGGAGCAGGCCAGATCTCAAAGTGCTCTGGATACTCTGTTGTGGAGTTTGCTTATTATCTTGTAAGTTACAGGGAAGCACGAGAAAGATTAAGCAGGGGAAAGATATGATTGGATTTGCATTCTGCAGTGTACAATGACCACACACACAGTGGGTTGGTTGGTGGGTGGCCGGGAGGCCACTGGCCATGGCAATGGTTTAAGTGAGAAAAAGAACTGAGGCTGTGACACAGAGAAGGATTATGAGTTTGTGAACTTTTCTGGGGAAAGAAAAGGCAGGCCTTACTGACTAGTTAAAAGTGAAGGCATGAGTGAAATTTGGGCATCTAGAATAATTCCCAGATTTCTATACTGAGCGAGATAGTGAATACAAGAGAAGCACATTTAGAGAAAGGGAGAAATGATGATTTCTATTAGAACTTGTTGGATGTGACGTGTTTGTAGAACATCCAAGGAGAATGATCCAGTAAGGGGGAGGATCTAAGCATCAGAACACTTATATTCTACCTAACACAAGACTCTGTAGAATGAACCTAACATGAGATTCTATAGGATGCATTTCATCTTAGCATCAAAAGAAAGGTCTGGAACCTTCATACTACGTGGCAGGTGAGAATGTAAAGTGGTGCCATTATTTTGGAAAACAGTTTGCCAGTTCATCAAAAAGTTAAAATAGGGTTGCTATATGATCTAAAAGTTACCTTTTTCATATGTTCCCAAGAGAAATGAAAACATGTATTTACATGAAGTCTTGTACACAAATGTTTATAGCAACATTATTCATAATAAAAAAGTGAAAGCAATGCAAATGTCCATCAACATGGATAAACAAAATGTGGTCTAGCTATACACTGGAATATTATTCAAGAATAAAAGGGAATGAAGTACTGATATATTCTACAACATAGATGGACCTTGGAAATAGTGCTAAGTGAAAGAAGCTGGGCATAAAAGGGCACATATTGTATGATTCCATTTATATGAAATGTCCCACATAGGCAAATTCAAAGAGACAGAAAGTACATTAGTGATTGCCTAAGGCTGGGTTGGGTAGGAGTAAGGGGGCAGTGAATACTAATGGGTTTGGCTTTTCTGTGGTGATAAAAATGTTCTAAAATTGACTGAGGTCATTGTTGTACAACTCTATAAATGGGCTAAAACCCATCAAATTATTTACTCTAAAGGGTAAATTTTATGGTATGTGAAATATTTCTCAATAAAGCTGTTAAAAGCAAAAGGCCATTGGCACACAGGTAGGTGAACATTTCCATTCCCACCCAATTGAACCCATCGAGTAAGAATGCATGATTCAGATGAGAGGACTTTGCTTTTGGCAATGTGATTGTCTAAACTAATAGACACACATTCCAGCAACTATATCTAGAAATACTGAATAAAATATAGCAAAAAAATTTTAAGACACCACCTAAGCCTGCATGAAAGATGGGTTTTATAGGTGTCAGATATTGGAACTACAAGTGCTCTTTAAGCAGCTGAACAAATTGGGAGGCGAGAAGTTGGTTCCAATACAAAGATACAAAGCAAGAAACTGTTTTCCTACTGACTATGCACAAATGGCAGACAAGACCTTGTGAAGAGGGAGGCGTTATGGAAACCCCAGCTTACAGCCAGGGCTACACACTCAGCAAATGGAAAATAGAAAAAAATCTACTCACCACCAGAGAGAGACAATTAAAAAAAGGTCTTATTTCTTGCTGATTTCCAGGCAGAGCAAAATTTTCTTATAAGAAATCACAACCCAAGTCTTGTTCCTTAAGTAGGTTTGGAGTCTGAATTTCTAGCTAAGAAACTAACATAAACTTGGTCAAAACCCGGTGCTATTCCCGAGATATCTGGAAGCATCACACGCAAAGTTGCTGCAGAGGGACTTTCCCCCAACCTAGGCAGTTGGGACTTACCACAGAACAAAATCCCACTGAAGATGAGCTCACAATCCAACATTTAAAGAGATGCCGGGAACAAATTCCTCACAATCAAAAGTCTATACATTCAACAAATCAGAATACTACCCTTAACCCCCAAAACGTGACATAGTAAAATCAAATCTGAAAGAGACTATAAACATTTTTTACAGAGATGAATTATTAAGCAGTTTGAAGCCATGAAGTAGAGGCATATATGTTAACATGGAAAGGTGTTAAAAAGAGTGCCGAATTCAGAAAAAGAAGAAGAAGAATGTGACCTCTCTAGCACAGAACCATGTATAGAAGAAGAAAATAGGAATGGGGATTGGGATAAACAATAAATAAAGTAAAATAATAATAACAGCTCCTGTGTGGACTGATGATGACAGCAGGCAATGACCAAAGGCACCATCACTTACAGAGAAACGCAAAGGCCTCAGAGTCAGATGGCCTCCATTCAAATCCTGGAGCTGCCACCTCCATTGACTGGGTCACCTTGGATAGGTAAGTTTCTTAATTACTCTGTGCCTCAGTTTCCCCTTTCTAAATTACCGTTTACCATAGTACTCCTCCATAGGAGTGTTGAGAAAATATATCATGCTTGGCAAACGTTTTGGCCATTGCAGCAGCCCCTGTGACGTACTGCCCAGGCCCTCTTCAGGATAGAGGGATCCCCTCTTCCTGGTGCTGAGAGTGCTGTAGGCAGGAGTCTCTCTGCTGCAGACAGCTGCCTTGCCTGAAGTTACCCTCCCTTCCTGAGGTGGCCTGTCTCCAATATGTGAGATGACAGGGTCTGACCTCTTGTCCGTGCTGAAGACATCTCTGAAGGACCAACTTAGCCCCGCCTCCTATTGGGGTGGGATACACTTATATATCTTTCAGGTATCTCATATTTTAGAATAAAATTAAAGTAAGCATGATGCATGGCCTTCATAAATCTGGGCTGCCTGGTTTATTCTCCCACCATAACAGTGTTTCTTTAATTTTTAATTTTAATCTCAATGGTCTTTCACTTTCAGAATGGTAGATTCCGCACAAGTGTACACCTTCATCATGCTACTACCCACTATGCTTTACTTCCTAGTAGATCTTTTTCTTTTAAACAAATAGTAACATTTACTTCCCATTTTAGAAACCTAAATTCTGTATTTACTTTGTCTTTAATATGCATACATAGATTGTTCCTGACAAATTTCCGAAGATAATCACCTCTTTGGAAGCTGCTCTTCCACTTTGTTGCAGTCATATTGTCCATACAATTTATCTTTAGTTGTTTTTTTTTTCTTCTGGATTTCTTACTCTCTGTTCCTTGAATTCAGTGTCCTTTCTTTTTGATGGCATCTCGGAGCCTCTGACAAAAAATTTCCCACGTGTTCTTTGCAAAATAAACTCCTCTTGTCAGTCAGTATACTTTCCATTAAACCATAACTCTAACATGAGAAAGGATTATCTCTCTTCCTATATATATTGTATTTTTTTCATTGAATATAAGTCACAAGGGCTTAATTTAGAAAAAAAATGGTGATTATTACTCTACCATCGACTGAACTGATTGTTAACAACTCTAACATATTTTCTGAAGTCAGGTCTTCTTATGATGAAAGAGGAATTCAGACATTACCTGTGCCCCCAGGTCTCTGTTTCTTGACCTGAGCTTCAAAGTCTCCAGAGATACATGGTAGATTTTTAACGATCGTATCATGTGTTCCTACATGAATCAGCAGAGGTGGGTAGTGATCATTGTCTGATTAGTCTGGCAGGTTGTCGGCCGTAGCTTGCAGGGGTGCTATGTGAAGATGGCGGAATTCCCAACGTGCTTCTGCAAAATTTTATGTATTCATCCCCCTCTGCTCTCAGTAGGGTGTTACCACCTGCGGATCCTTTGCTTTCCCCGCTGGATACTAACAGCCTTTTTCATAATTGCTAGCACCTATGGAATTGAGTGTTGAACTGAACAAACAATAGTCTTTCTCTGTAATGTCAGAGTTATTCATAAGACGAGGCAGTGTTAGACATAAGAAAGAGCACTGGGCAAAGAATCAGACAACCAGGATTTGGTTCCATTCTTTTATTATCAAAGAATAAAAAAAAACAATATTATTTTAAGATGCAGTCCCAAGTCTTATAAGGAATTTGAAGGCTTCTGGGATCTAATCTAGGTCATGCCCATTCTGCCTTCCCTTGCTGTGTGCCCCTGACACAAGCATGGAAACATGTATTCACTTACCTTTGCCCTTGGGAACACTTTGGTGGGGAAAAATGTTGATATAGGTTAGCATTTTTATAAACTGTCAAGTTGTACGTATATAAATTAATAGGAAAGTTTTAACGAAAAGTGTCCTTCCCTGAGGTAAATAATTCCTCCCTTTCTTTCTGCTGTGCTCTGTCACTCCACACTCCTACCCACTGGCATCTCTTCCCTTATCCTCTGGGAAACTTCCTCTTTCTGGCTTTCTTCCTAGAATCTTTTTCTCCCTTCTTCTCTAAGAATCCTTTATTGTACAAACTGGGCAACATGGTGAAAGCCTGTCTCTACTAGAAGTACAAAATGGTGGTACATGCCTGTACTTCAGCTACCAGAGGCTGAGGTGGGATGATCGCCCAAGCCTGGGAGGTCCAGGCTGCAGTGAGCTGAGATCAGACCAGTGCCCTCCAGTCTGAGCGACCGGAGTGAGACCATGTCTCCAAAATTAAAAAAAAAAAAAAAAAAAAAAAAACAAGGAAAACCACTGTAGAGAATAATCTGGAGTGCTGAGAGGTATTATTTAAGACCCTTTATCTCACCCTCTAGCAGGGAGATGAGCTTGCATCTGTATCAAGTAGAGTTGGTCATTAGCTCAGGCAGAAGACACAGGAGAGTCCCTGTTTTGCAGGCCATGGTGTCTGCTCCTAGAGCCTCTAACTGAACTCACAATTGTTAAGATTCCCTCATGGACTCTCCGGGAAAATTTATTTGTCATCGTATGCTGACAAGTTCTTACCCCAAAGCAATTAAGCGCTGGGGAGAAATTTCATGTTGCTGGGAGAAAACATACTGTGTGGCCTGGAGGCCTCAGAATATTTCCATAAACAGCAGATGTTTGATTTCTGTTGCAATGATTCATGAAGCCAGACTTGCTTTCATGATAAGAATTTGAATGAGGAGGAGGCAAACTTTTACTTCTATCAAAGAAATGAGTAGTGTCCGTAAGATAGAAGTTTATGCATACATTAGTGATGAGGCCCTGATGTAGTTGATTATGGTATTTAAAGCCAACCAAAAGGGGCCTTATTTTCTGTTTTAAAAGTAATTGTAGAAAATTTGGAATATATAAAGTGCAAAGATGGAAATGAAAAATTCTGCAAATCCACCCTGCCCCTCCCAAAGACAAGTGTATCTTTAGTGATAAGAGACTGATAATAGGGAATGGGCATTGTCAACTTAATACCAGACACCTTGTCGCCATCTCAGTGACTGAGATGGAACGCCAACCCAGGCAGACTGTTCATCATCTGTGCTCCTAATCCCTTGCTGCACTGCTCCCAACTGACAGTATCTGAAAGGGTGCTTCTAGGATCCCAGAATAATCGTAAAGCAAATGACCAAGGTGCCAGGCACCAACCATGCGTCATCCTAGTTAATCCCCATAGTAACCCTTTGAGGAAGGTACTATGGTTATCTCCACTTCTTAGGTGAGGAAACTTGGGCTTAGAGAGGTGATAAACCTGCCCAAGGCCAAGTTTACACAGCTTATGAACAGAGAAGCTGGGATTCAAAACAGATCTTTTGAGCAGAATCCTTACTCTTGGGAACCATAATGAACATTTACTGCTTTCCTGGACTGTTAGAGTTAGAGGGGATCCCAGCAGTCATCTTTTCCAAATTGCTTATTTTATAAAAGGGGCAATTGAGAATCAGAGACCTGAAGCAATTTGCCAAAGGAAATAGAGTTGGTCAACGGCCATGCCTAACATTCAAATATCCTGGCTAGCAGCACGGTGTTCCTTTAATTGAGCAGGGCTCCAGTTGCAGGAAGCAGAAAGGTGTTTCTGAACGCTGGGCAGTTTCTTTCAGAGGAACAGTTTTATATCATTTCTTACATCATTTTCTTGGGTCATCCTGCATGACACCCACACGAACTTCTCATATTTCCTTTATTTTTCACATGCTAGGAATTCACCTAGGAAAAGTAGAGTTTGGCTGGGTGCAGTGGCTCACTGCTATAATCCTAGCACTTTGGGAGGCCGAGGCGGGCGGATTACCTGAGGTCGGGAGTTCAAGACCATCTTGGCCAACATGGTGAAACCTTGTCTCTACTAAAAAATACAAACAATTAGCAGGTGCAGTGGTGCGGACCTGTAATTCCAGCTACTTGGGAGGCTGAGGCAGGAGAATCACCTGAAAATGGGAGGCAGAAGGCTGCAGTGAGCTAACATCATGCCACTGCACTCTAGCCTGGGCTACAGGGCAAAGCTTTGAAAAAGAAAGAAAGAAAGAAGAAAAGAAAGACAGAGAGAGAAAGAAAGAGAGAAAGAAAGAAAGAAAGAAAGAGAGAAAGAAAGAAAGAAAGAAGGAAAGAAAGAAAGAAAGAAAGAAAGAAAGAAAGAAAGAAAGAAAAAGAAAGAGAGAAAGAAAGCAAGCAGGCAGGCAGGCAGGCAGGCAAGCAAGCAAGCAAGCAGCTCAGCCTCTACGGTGTTAAATTCCACTTCCCAGAAACTCAAGGCAGTGTATGAAAGCCAAAATTCCAATCCCATATAAGTAATTGGATGGACTTTTGACTCTCTGGTTCCAAATGTACAGGAAGAGATCAAACACAAGAGAAAAATCGCCAGAACACCATGTCCCTAACTATAGGAGCAAACCTTTCTTTGTGCTAAATAGATGAAAGGTAACAGATGCTTGAACCTTAGCTCTGGTGAGAGAGATCCAGGTGAAGTGTCGTCATTGTCTGAATGGCCACATAGCTCCATTTTTCAATCAACAGAAGCTCCATGTATGGAAGAGAGGAGCAAGGCACAAAGGCAAAGGAACAAGGCGGTAAGTGAAATATTTAAGGTCATGAGGTGATGGAGGCTTAGAAGCCAAGAAAAGAATTCCAGAGGAATCATCTGCAAGAAACAATGAATTATGTCTTCTCCAAACAATGTATTGAACAGACAAGCTCACGTTGGGCAATCTCACTGCTTTCTTCTTGAACTCCTAGTTCTCTGTCTCTGTCTCTCACCCTTTTACCTCTTACACAATGTATTTCTTTAACCCCATATTCGCATTGAAGAGTAGGGTAAAGGCTCACAAAATCTGTTGCTTTCCAGAGTTCTTGCCAATGGAGTATCTGGAAGACAGCCAAATATTCTCACTGGCTGGGCTAGCAATCAAGAGTGTATGCCTTGATGCAGTTATTATCTTACCTGGGTGTACCTTTTAAGTGCAGCCTTCTTTTGCACCTAAGTATGCCTAGAAAAAAGAAGTCTTCCAGGTTTTTCTGTATCCTGAAATTTCTTGTCTCACTTCCCCCAGTAAGTAACATAGCACCTGCTCATTTACTGGTTGTACGTGTGTTTTTAATTAGACACATGTCTTTTGGAGGCATTTCAGGAGCCGTTAAACTCTTTTTCTCTTTTTGAACATAAAAAAAAAATCCCCAATTACTTCACTGCTTGTGTCAGGCTTGATTCTTAAAGGTTTGAAATGTTTTTCAGATGGAAGAGACTGTGGCAGCCAAACATGTATCGTCTTTCAAGTTATGTCAGTTCCATGATTTTTAACAAAGAAAAGTCATCTGGTGGATGACAATGCTTGACAAAAATCAAAGTAATGCTTACCATGTAGATCAATTTATTCAACTTACTGGAAAATTGTATAGAGGAAGAGAAAAATCTCTAATATTACAAACTTCAGCACCCCTAAAGGGAAGTGCCAGAAAGTTCATTGATAAGTCCTGGTTTATGGTGTTTCTTCTTTTCCAGTGCTCAGGCCACTCTTAAACATTTGGCATAAAGTAGTGCATTAAACCTCTAATTCCCCTAGGGTACTAAATGATACCTCCCTATTTTGAATATCTGATGGTGGGTTGGCTTTAAGAAATCTACCAGACCTGCTTCTCCTCCCATGATAGTTTATCAATTCCATTATCATTCAACTAAGTAGAGTGGCCTAGAATTGCCTGAGCTTCCTGAGGAATTAAAGATAATCATCATCAATAAATATTTATTGTACACCCTTTTTCTGGTTAAGAGACTGTGCCAGGCACTGTACAAAATCTGATTACAGCTCCACAGCTACTGCCCAAAGGGGCTTGCAATCTAATTATAGACAGCCCAGATGAGATAAGCACAGATGACAAGCTCTGGCCAGGCAATCCTGTGTTGTTCATCTAAAAGAGAGAGAGGATTAAAAAAACATAGTGTACTTTGTTGGGTTAAAGGAAAAATGACTTTCCCTCTCCTCCAATCCTATGTGTTTATTTTCAATCTGGGTTTAGGGAAATAAGTTTGAATGTTCGTAAATGTTGCTATCCATGAAGTCTTATCCACTGCTTTATAAAGTCCGAGGCACATTTCATAATTTTTGCTGTTCTCTCCCTTCCTTTCTTCTTGTACACCCCCAGGCCTTGAGCAGGACTTAATGCCACTTAAAGCAGAAATAAGTGGTATCCAAGAAATAGCCTTTTTCATAGCAACAAGGTTTTGGCCTTTCTTATGTTCTGAAGCACCAAAGCAGCAGAGAGACTCAGAGGAGAAACCATATAATGAAGAAAGGGTAACAAAGACCCCCTCATGTTTTATATCAGTGGTTCTCCAACAGCAGCTCCTGAACCACAGCACCGACATCATCCGGAAACTTTTAGAAATATGCATCTTCAGGCCCCACTTCACACCAACTGAACCAGGACTTGCAATGGGACTCAACCACTTGGGCTTTGACAAGCCCCGCTGGTGAAGCTGAGGTGCTCTCGGGCTGAAAATCGCTGCTTTGTATGCTCCACAATCAGAGGGGTTTTGAGACAGCTCTGTCACTGCTCCTATTTGGTGCCTACTGGTATAAAAATCCCAAAGCAGACATGCTGCTAGAATGTCTTTGGCCAGAGTTGAAAAGGCATCTCCATAAACTCAAAACAAGCATATTTAGGACATTAATGAGGAAGGACTGAATGAAATTTGTGGGGAAGGGGAGAGGTCAGAGTCCTTTGGAAGAGTCTTGTTCCCTACGTGGTTCCCAGTTTGTTCTGGAAGAATCTGAGAGTGAATACAGGGAAAGAAGCCCCTGTGATCTGCTATGGTGTCTTTAGATTCCATTGGAAGTTTGTAAAGTACAATAACCACTGTCAGTGTATTAACCCAAGTGACCTAATGATTCATCAGTGATGACCTTGTGAGTGAAAATTACCTCGGCTGTAGGAGATGATTGCTTGCCAGGACCTGGTGTCAGGAGTTGCAAAGTTGGACGTCTTAGATGTGGAAAAAGAGATAGCCGAGGCAGCACAGAGCAAGACTGTTAGTCCACTTTCACACTGCTGATAAAGACATACCCGAGACTGGGCAATTTACAAAAGAAAGAGGTTTAATGGACTCAGTTCCACATGGCTGGGGAGGCCTCACAATCATTGCTGAAGGCAAGGAGGAGCAAGTCATGTCTTACATGGATGGCAGCAGGCAAAGAGAGAGAGCATGTGCAGGAGAACACCTCTTTATAAAACCATCAGATCTCATGAGACTTACTCGCTATCATGAGAACAGCACAGGAAAGACTTGCCCCCATGTTTCAATGATCTCCCACTGGGTTCCTCCCACAACACTTGGGAATTATGGGAGCTACAATTCAAGATGAGATTTGGGTGGGGACACAGGCAAACCATATCAAAGACCAACCAAGGGGAGCAGGAAGACCTGACATTCCTCCGAGAAATGGAAATGCAACTGTTGTGTTGAGCACCTACAAACTCACATAGAGAAGGCACAGATTCAAGACATGAAAGAAGAGACCCAGAGCCAACAAATGAGACATGGAGTTTTATCAGGGGCTAACACATAGGGCAGAGAGTCCAGTGGCAGTGGGCTGCATAGGAGAACCACCTTACGTACGGTCCAGTGGCAGCAGGCTGGGAAGGAAAACCATCATCACTTGCAAACAACATGCAGTCTATACAACATTTTCACTTAACATCCTCCCCTTAATGTCCTCCATCTGGCAACCTTCATCCAACCCAAAACTCAGGGCCTCAATCCCCTATATGGCCTGTGTTCCACTGGACAGGCAGAAGGGCTCAAATGTTCTTCACAGACAAGAAATGAATCTCCGGGTTGGCCACTCCAGGATTCCCTGGCTTGGAACACATATTCAGGTGTATTTGCCGTACATATTCAGGGTCATTCTCAGGGTATGCTTAAGTTATTGCTATCAAGTACGTTTATCATACAGCAACTATATGACTGTATGTGGTCCTTACACAATGGATAGGTTTATGACTTGATTATCTAAGGAAGGAATGAAAAGGAAGAGGAAAGAAATAAAAGTGCAAGAACCATTGGGAGGTATCTAGGGGCAGATCAAGGGAGTCCTAACAACTTTGTATACAGTATCTCATTTAATACTGACTCCTAAAGAGAGTTAGGTGATGACTCAAAGTTCCAACAGTCTGTCCACTTTGGAGTCAGGAGTTGAGCTTAGGTCTGATTGACTCCAAACCCTGTAGGATGCCAAAATGTATAAGATTCCCATTATAAGTAAGGCATGGAACTCTAAGAATTGTAAATACTTCTCTAAATTTCACAATGACTCTCTTTTTTTTTGGTGTGATTATCACCCCCAATTTAGGAAACAGCCTGAGAGAGAGGAAGCAGTAATGGAGTTAGGGGAACAGAGCCCTGTGGCTTCCACCTTCACCTCTGATTTAGTCGGGGAATGAGAGATCCAGTAGATGTAAAAGCAATGGCAGACCTCAGTAAAGGGGGAACCACATGGGCCTGAGGGAAGATGCTCCATGGTAAAATTATAAGGCTGTGCTCTGATTTCTTGGTTGGGGGAGACCTTAGTTAGCTCATCCTGGAAAGATTCTGGAGCCCAGAAAAGGACTCTGACTTTAATATCTCATTGGGATGATGGAGACTAAGCCTTTCTACTCAAGACAGCAGAGGGTTTATAGAGCCTGGTATTGTTCTTTTCAGCGTAACTTAAGTGGCTACTTGCAGTACAGAAAAGACTGGCTGAAAAACCAATAGTGATTCCAGGACAGAGAATGGAGAAGCTTTTTGATTTAGGGTCCCAGGAATTCCTATTTCTAGAAGGAATGTGCTTTAGACTTGGAGCATCCTCAGAGAGCTCTATAAGACTCACGGGATTACTGAAGCAATTCAGAGCTCTAACATCTCTGCATCTCAAATTTCTTTTCAAGGATAATTCAAGTAGGGAAGCCCTTCTGGAAATACAGGACTTGAAAGCAAATAAAGGCATTCTATTAAGAATTAACTAAAATTAATACAAGAATATATTCCATTAATTTCAATTTAAATTAATAGGGGCATATTATAAGACATTGGTATTACTAGGATGTTCAACACGAATAGTTTTAAAATGAATGTAAAAGCTTCCCTCTCTTAATGTTTTATATAATGCAATTAAAAAAGGAATTCATTTAGCTATAATGTGCACATATATATTTTTAATATAATTATGTGTGTATGCCACAGCTATCCATTTACAGATTTAACTATGTATAATTTTAAAAATTTAAGCACATACAAATATAACATTTATAAGGACTTATTTATTTTAGATACATACATCTATGTATATCATTCATATAAAAATGGCTGTGGAGGAAAACATTGAGTATATCGTTTTCAGTTTATGTCTTGCTATATTTTGAGGAGTTAAATCTTTAACACTTTAAAGATTTGTTTGCTTTAAAATACCACGGTAAAGTTATCTATTAATATAGTGCATTGGTTTGTTTGATAAAGAATTATGTCATTTAAAGAAATACTGGGCCATTATGTCCTAATGACAAGCCTAATGAGAAATGTCTGTCTCCAAATTTCACAAGAATAGAGAAAAAGTTGTTATGCAGCTGAGCCAAATTATGCTCTCCACCCCATCTGAGTAATTTAAACCCAGGTTGAATTGGGACAGGGACAGGTGTAATTGGCCTAGTGTCTGCTATTTCCAGCCTTGCAATTACCATAATAAGGTTGTCTATAGAGAGGTCAGAAGCTAACAGCCAGTTTGGCTGTTGCCTTCTAAGACTGTCATCGGTGGGAGAACAAGGAGTCCATTGGGTCAGAAGGAAGAGCTGAATAGATGGTGGTAATTGGTCTAGTGACAGGAAGGTCTACCAGAAGACAACAGAAATAGTCAGTGGCATTGAAAGACAAGGTAGCAACAAGGAAGCATGTGGGATGAATGACATCAGTGGATTTATAATTATAGTATGAATGAGGCTGGGGAGAGGCCGTGGGCCTGTAGTTAACAATCTAAAAAATGTTATGTGCTGGCTGTAAATTCATTAGAAAAAGAGACATGTACCCATAACCAGCTCTCTTGACTTATCCTACATGTCCAGGTCATAATGCAAACCTCAGAGGAAGAGAAAGTGCTGCTAGTCGATTTAAGAAGTGTCAAGTGTTCCATAACGGACCGCTCTGGGGGAGTGTGTTTTAGAATGAAATTCTAAAAGGGGCTCTCTTTAAGCACAGACTATTTTACTTTCCTGAAAAAATAACACTGGTGACACTAGTTTCCTGGGGTGACTTTCACAGTGCATACATGGTGCCCAAGGATGTGGATCTTGCAAACTTGATTCATTCCTATTGGCTTTGTACCTGCATAAATCTTTCCATAGCCTAGACCAAGAGTCCACTATCTCTTGCTGCCTCCACCCTTTTCACTGTGGATCTGTCTACATCTGCTGTCTTAGGGTCAGTCCCCTTTATGAATTAAAATTTGAAGAATTGTTTACTGATGCTTTTCTACCAGCCTTGGAGCCTCCCTTTTTCACTGAATGAGTTCCAGTTCAACAAGAACTTTATTCATGGTTCTCCTTTTCGATAACTCTGTAGTGATGAACAGTAGTTGCTGCAATCAAATTCAGTCCAGTGACAGTCTTTAAGTGTGCTGCTGTGGATTTCTAAGAATAGTTCCTCCAAGGTACCTTGTATACTAGGAAAATAGAATTGAGTTAAGAAGGGAAGAGGCTTTTGTTACTCTTAGTTTTTCGCCCTGTTGACTATGGAAACCACTTCATTTCTGCTGTAACACTCCTACTGTGTCTCCCTATTCATTTCTGATAATGTATTACTTTAATATCCACTGAATGAATGCTTCCCCCCACCCTCTTTTTTTTTGTTTGTTTTTGAGACAGGGTCTCATTCTCATCCAGGCTGGAGTGCAGTGGTGCGACCATGGCTCACTGCAATCTCTGCCTCTCAGGTTCAGCGATTCTCCCACCTCAGCCTCCTGAGTAGCTAGGACTACAGGTGCACCATGCCTGGCTAATTTTTGCATTTTTTGTAGAGATGGGGTTTTGCCATGTTACCCAGGCTGGTCTTGAGCTCC